>NC_000023.11:34392839-34543196 GCF_000001405.40 Homo sapiens | reverse complement strand
ATTTCTATATTTATTTAGGCAGCTCTTTTTTTATAATTTGTATTCTATATTTGCCTTTTCAGTTATTATAAATAAGTACTATTTTGGTTCCTTTCCTATTCATCTTTGATTGAAGCAGGCTACATGCTGACAAATAATGGAAGGGAAGTGAAGTGAACTGAACAGTCCATTCTTTCTATTTGGGCTTTTCTTTCACATTCTTCCTACAAAGAGCTATTTATCCTGGTAGTATACATTGCTTAGACGTTGGATGCAAAGCTTTATAGAACAGATGTTTCTCCATACTAGTATTTGGCATCCACAGACCTTCCTCCATCCTTGGTCCACTTAACACCCATCCCACCCCCACCTTCCCTAGCAAAAGACAAAATTGTAAACAACAGAAATGGCTTGTGGTCTGCCAAATGCATAATTTTCTTTACTTTACTTCCCCCTCCCTGTGGCTCTGTGGTATCATGCCGCAGCCTCTGCAGTGACCTAAACAATCTTTCCTGTGACCTTAAAACTCAAGGTGTTCTAATCAAAGGGACATTGGTTATGCCTTTCAGAATACTGATTTTTAACTTTTACAAGATCTGGGGTGGCACTGGAAACTCACATCATTGTTTCAGCTCTGATTTCTCACTGTTTATCATGTGCAACTGAAAATATAATTCGTTGTATTGTTTATTCTCCAGTTTCTTCTTTACATTTTCCTTTGAGAAGATTTGAGAGAGGATATATGGCAATAATTCTATTTTATTATATTAAATCAGAAGTCTTGAAGGACATTCTGTCTTCACAATTATTCCTTGAACTAGTCCCATTGGCAAGTTGGGAAAATAAAGAACAGAGATACTAAATCGTTTACAGAAGGTAATGAAGTTAGCCACACACAAAAAAGGAAATCCATCTGCCTCAAGGGTCGTTCTTGGCCAGCCTCCTAATTATTATCTTGGACACATAATCCCTATAGAAATGATTTCCTCAACATGACAAGGAACAAAACAGAAAAAGAAAGATGCTTAGTATTAAAAAAATGTTTTTTTCAACAACCTAGAGAATCTGAAAAGAAAGTGAGGCCAAAAATATTAGTTAATATAAGTTTATATCAAAGTTTAGAGCATTAAATTCAATTTTAAAACTTATATATAATTTAATAATCTTTTTTTTCCATAACACGTATACTACTTAAACTGCTGGACACTTAGCCTAAATGTATATCTATGGTTGCCACTCTTCTTGGATGTGCTTTCACAATGACAAGAAATAACCCACAAGGGGTAAATAAAGTAAAACAGCTCCAAAGCAATCAATAGGGTTTAAGACTTCAAGTATCTTCTTTTAGGTCAAATTGTGTGAAAATTATTCTAAAAAATAATTGCCACAGCAACCTCAAGCAATGTGCCTTTTGAGAATCACATAATTTTTGTTTCTCGTACCATTTCTCTGGTGAATTTATTGTTTCTATAGAACTGAGAGAGTGGAGGGAAGTTGGGGCTAAATGCTATGATTTTATATTCTTACTTGGTAGTTCCAAGTGAGACCAAAGGAAATTATCTTCTACCATGTAGAGTTTGTTTTTTAGGAAAGCTGAAGGAAGCCCTTATAGTCACACAGCTGCAGGCTATTAAAATCTAACAGAATGCAATCAAAATAAAGTCTGACATCAGAGCACAACAAAGTTTTGCTTTGGCTGTGCCTAAGTATATGTAAACCAAACATGAGTTAAATTGCTGAAACCAATGGTTAGTTTTAAAACATTTGTGAATAATTGATTGACCATGTTCTACTGATTCAATCTGACTTGTGTGCATTGGCTTAGACTTTGATAATAATACGTAGAAAACAGAGAGAGTTACCTAGCATTCAGAGTGGATAATTTTAAAGTGAATTTTTAAAAACCTATGGAATTTTCTGTAATGACTTTTTATCCAGATGCTGCTTCATAAATGAGTCTCTCTCTTTCTCTCTGCCTCTCTCTTTAAAAGGTTTGTGCAGCTACCTTTTTTTATTTCTCAAAATTTTTATGTTTAAATTCAGTCAGTTACCTCTAAGGGTTTAAAGCTACAGCCTTTCTTCACACAAAACGTAAGCATGAAGCCCTAACAGGTTACAACAGGCAAAGGGTTACCATAGAGGGTACCTATGTGCTGTTCTCAATTGAAAAATGTCAGTAAATTATAAGTATTCAGATGGTTGCATGTTTGGTGACATGTGGCATACACCATTTTTCCTTAAAATAGTTATTTTCCCTCACATCTCTCTGCACATACACAGTCATGGTGGGAAACAAAAATCTACTTCACATTCCAGTTAAAATAATGCATATCTACATTCTGACATGATGTCTTTTAAGTGGATGATGTAAGGATAATTTCCACTTTTATTTGAAATAGACTATAGATCCCAAGCAAACTTTTACACTTAGAAAATTAAAATTGTATGGTTCATTTAGATTTCTGTACAATGACTCACTTGAATTTTTCTACAGATCTTTAATCATATATTCTTAGGCTAGTTTCACATTTTAGGTTATAGTTTACTGTCAAAGCACGACCAATATCAAATTTGGAAGATATTCTCATTTACACTGAAAACAGTTTTCGGATTCATTCATTGGACGAAAGATGGAAAAGAATGAGACTATCAAGATAAATATATTATATATTAAAATAAATTTTAAAATACTGGCACATGTTATTGGTATGATCTTGATGAACTTTCATTTTATAACATTACAATGCCAGACTTAGCCAATTATAAAAATGTTATTTGTTCTCATTTATTATTTTGTTACTAATATTCAGAAATGTAGTTGTCCAAATTTGAGTTTTATTTTTAACATTTTAAGAACACTTCTAACCTTATAATCTTTCTCTTTCCTTGTTTTTGAATGATGCATTTACCCATTGATCACAAAAACTGTACAATATCCTAATATTTCAAGCTTTTGTTTATCCACAATTTAAATAAACTCATAATTCTAAAATTTTCTATTAATATGAGTTGTTTTGTATGTACCATTTGTTCACGATTAATTCTTATTTAGATCATACCCAGTTTTAAACAATGTGTTTATACTGGAACCAACAATCATATTGCTTAAATAGGATTTTATAATCAGCTTTATAAATGCCTGTGTATTAATATTCCTTCCAAAATGACACTTCCTTTATGGTCTTGGTGTGAATAAGGGTAAACTTGCTTGCTATGACATAACGGCATTCACTAAACAAGTACTGTTCTGGGAAACTCTGACCTAATTCACATATTAGAAAATAAGAACAAGTATTTCTACTTAACTAGTTTTGTCTATTACAGTGAGAGTTTGCTATATATCACAAAAATGTGGGACATAGGCTTGGACTCTCTGAATAGGTAAATTGATATTTTAGTAAGGTGCTTTACAGCAACATTTTAATGTGCTGAAAAAATGCTTAGGTGAGAGTTCTGAAAATGCGTATCCGCAGTGAGCTTCAGCAGAGCAAAGAACATGAGGATGTTCTCAGGAGCGCTTTGCTATCTATTATTTAGCATGTTTCTGCTGAAGTGTCAATATGTGCTAATTCAGTTAGCTATAGATAGGTGAGGGCTTATAAGTTTTTTCGCTCTTCTGATTTTAGAGGTGCCTATGCCTCTTTCCCCATCAGGTGTATCATGTGGAATTAGTTCCTGGTTTACCTACAAGGTGGAAAAAGAGATGAAATTTATACCGGATGTTCTTTAGTGTTTTATTTTTTTGATAACTTTATAGTCCTTTATTTTATTTTATTTTTGAGGGGGCTTCCATCTCTTTTTCATTTTTTTATAGATTCAGGGGGTACATGTGCAGGTTTGTTACATGGATATATTGCATGATGCTGAGATTTGGGCTTCTCGTGTATCCATCGCCCTAATAGTGAATATTGTATCCAATAGGTAAGTTTTCAACCCTCACTTGCCTCCCCTTTTCTCTCTTTTGGAGTCACCAGTGTCTAATATTTCCCTCTGTATATCTATGTGTACCCATTGTTTTGCTCCCACTTATAAGTGGGAACAAATAATATTTGATTTTATGTTTCTTAGTTATTTTTCTTAAGATAATAGTCTCTAATTCTATCTATGTTGCCACAAATCCCCCCGCAAATCTCATTCTTTTTATGGCTGTATAGTATTCAGTGATTTGGTAGTTGTTCCCCTCTTCCTCCTCCCCCCTTTTCCTCCCTCCTTCCTTGTCCTCCTCCCTCTCTCTACTTCCCTCTCCCTTTTTCTTCTTTTTGAAAGTAAATATGCATCAAGCTCTGAATTTTAATGTTTTCCTCTTTTTGGATTCATAGTAAATAAAACTTTAGTTAAAGTAAAACCAATATAATTTTAACATATACTTTGGCAATTTTCTCATATCAGGGTTAAAAAAATTGTGCATTCTCACCTAAGCATACAGAAAGAGATAATGTGTAGACCACAAATAAATGTACACATAACATATAGTATACAAATTCCAGGCAATTGAAAACATTAACATTTAATATGTTAGTGTCAAATATTAGTATCAGCTGGTTATGTCATGGACAATATTTTCATGGCAGAAAAAAGAATTAATAAAGTTATGACCTAAGCTTCAGTTTACACTTCCATTCACAATTTTATTTTCTTGAGACAGGGTCTCCCTCTGTCACCCAGGCTGGAGTGCATTGACACGAACGCGGCTCACTGCTGCCTCGACCTCCTGGGGTCAAGTGATCCTCCTGTCTCAACCTCCCAAGTTGCTGGGACTAAAGGAATGCAGCACCACAGCTGGCTAACTTTTTGTTTTCGTGTTTTGTAGAAATGAGGTCTCACTTTGTTGCCCAGGCTGGTCTTGAACTCCTGTGCTCAAGCCATCCTCCCACCTCGGCCTCCCAGAATGCTGAGATCACAGGTATGGGCAACTGTGTCTGGCCTCTATTAACAATTTTACTTGTTTATTTCCAAGTAAACTTCTGTAATCTGATCAGCTGATGATAATGCTGGTACTGTCACTAGCTATGAGAACATGGGAAAATTCCATAATCGTTGAAAGTCATAATTTCCCTCTCTATATAATGAGACTACTCCTAGAAACAACCTCAAAGGTTATTAGGAAGATTAAATGAGATTAAACTTCACTTGCAATTAAATACAAAAAACCCATTAGAAACAGCTGAAGAGAGAATGAGTGAACTAAAAATCAATTCAGCATACTATATCAAAAAGTTAGCACATAGAGACAAAAAATAAAGGTGGAACAAAAAGAGTAAAAATCATAGAGCATGCAATGAGAAGGCCTAATATATCTTCAGTTGGAATCCAAAAACTTAGATGAGAAAGAAAGTGACCAAAGCAGTACTTGATGTGACTATGTGTGAGAATTTTACAGAATTTATGAGACTATAATCCATAAATTTAATAAATCCAATGAATCTCAAACCATATAAATTAAAAAACCACAGTCACATTACAGTAAAACTTTAAAATTACAAAGGCATATATATTAAAATAAGTGAGAAGAAAATATTGTCTTCAATGAACAACAGTTACAGAAATCATAGCTGATTTCTCAACAGTAACTAAAGTTAGAAAAGAGCATAATATCAAAGTGGTGACAAAATATACTGCATACCAAAACCTTTGCAATGTTGTAAAAGCAGTACTTAGTAGAAATTTACAGTCTTAAATGTATACATTAAAAATAAAGAGCCACATGCAGTGGTTCATGCCTGTAATCCCAGCATTTTGGGAGGCCAAGGCAGGAGGCTGCTTGGGCCCAGGAGTTCATGAGCAACCTGGGGCAACATAGTAAGACCCTATATCTACAAAAGAAAATTGAAAAATTAGCCAGGTGTGGTGGCACAGTTCCAGCTACTCCAGAAACTGAAGTGGGAGGATCATTTGAGCCAGGAGGTTGAGACTGCAGTGAGCCATAATTGCACCCCTGCACTCCAGCCTGGGCAATACACACACGGAGAGAAATTCTGTCTCAAAAAAAGTAATTAAATAAATAAAATAAAGGTTAAAAGTTAATAAACTACATAACCAAGTCAATTTGGTGGGGAAAAAGTCAGTACAATAGGCTAAATAATCTAGAAGCAAATGGTAATGATAATATATTAACAAATAGAAAACAAACATCTACTAGGGACCAAGAACTAGGGACTATTTGAAATGACTGATATAAAAAATTGAATGAGACTAACAAATTGCAAATGTGAGACACAAATAACCACAATAATAAAAAAGGGAATATCTCCATAATGCTTGAAGTTATTTAAAAAATAAGATATTCAAAGAACTTTTTAGCAATAACTTGAATTCTTAGATTAAATGTTCAAACTGCCAAAGAGCTAAGTTATCAAAACTAACTGAAGAGAAATTATCATATTTCTTAAATTATTTCAGTGCTATTTTGGGCCTTTCTATTCTGTTCCCTTTGTCTATTATTTTATATTTGTATCATAGTAATTTTAAAAATACAGAATCAAATTGATAATCAGAAATTTTTTCACAAAGAAAATTTTGAGCCAAATGCCTTCGGTGATGAGTTCTCTAAAATATTCAAAAAAGAAATAATTCCAATTTTATACAAACTCTAAGAGAATAGAAAACAGGGCACATTTCCAATCTCATTTTTCTAAATTACCTTGATACTGAAATGCAACAAAGACTGTATGAATAACAAAATTAGAGATAAATTTTGTCATGAACATAGATGTAAAAATCCTAAACAAATTTTCTTCAGAAATTCATTACATTAAAAAATGTTATACAAGCAACCTAAAAAATATAAAAGTCACGATTGATAAAATTTAATATTCATTGATGATTTAACAAACTTGGCAAACTAGGAATAGAAGGCTACTTCCTCAATCTGGTCAAGTATAATTATTGAATTATTCCATTTTCTGTTTCTTACTACAGAGTACCTAACATTGGGTTATTTATAAAGAAAAGGAATTCATTTCTTACAATTATGGAGGCTGAGAAGTTTAAGGTCAACGGGGCGCATCCAGTGAGGGCCTTCTTGCTGGTGGGGACTCTGCAGAGTCTCAAGATGGCACAGGGCACCATATGGCAAGGGGGAAGAGCATGGGTCTCTATTTGTCTTCTTATAAATCCACCAGTCCCATTCTTGTGATAAACCATTAATCTATTAATTTATTAATGGATTAATCCATTCATGAGGACAAAGCCCTCATGACCTAATCACCTCTTAAAGTCCCCACTTCCAATACTGCCACATAGGGAATTAAATTTCAACATGAGTTTTGGAGGGGACATTCAAACCATAGAAATTATCCAAAATGCAAACTTCATACTTAATTCCGAAATACTAAAAGTTTTCTCTTAGAAAACAGGAATGACATAAAAACTACCATTATTACAACTTTTATACAATTTTTTATGCAATGTTTTAGCTAGTATAATAAGGAAAGAAAAAATATATGTAAGGAATCAAAAATATACTGTCATTATCCACAAGTGTTATGATTGTGTATAAGGAATATCTAAAATAATAAGCAGATAAATTACTGTATCTATAAGTGACATTAACAAAGTTTATATATATAACATGCATAGAAATATAGGATATTTCTATATATCAACAAGAAAACAAAAGAGTGAAATCTGACTTTAATTTAAATAGCATAAAATTGAAATTGCCTGGGATTAAATCTAACAAAAGACATCCAATATGTCTACATGTGAAACCATATGGTTTTATTGAGACTTATTAAGAAAATGTATGTAAATGCAGGGGTATATCATGTTTATGGATTGAAAGAGTCAATGATACAAAGATACCAATTATCCTCAAATTTATTTATAGATTCAATGTATTATTATTATTATTATTTTTAGAGATGAGGGTCTTACTATGTTGTCCAGACTTGTCTCAAACTCCTGAGCTCAAGTGATCCTCCAGACTCAGCTTCCCAAGTATCTGGAACTACAGGAGTATGCCATTACAACCAGCCAGAATTTTTATAAAATTTGATATGCTGTTTCTCCATTGCACTTGAAATAGAACAGGCCAGATACAGAGAGGCAATTCTAGAAATATAGTTACGAAAAATAGTTATTAAGTCTTTTGGATACAAAGATAGACTAATAGACCAAAAGAACAGAGTACAGAGATCCAGAATGACTCTTGTATATACAGCTACTTGATTAATGACAGACACAGTACTTGCATAAAAGTGAAAAAAACGGTACTCTTAAATGGTGCTCAGAAACTTGGTTTTCCTTAAGAAATAAAACCAAATGGAACCCCTACTTCACATAATAAACAAAAATCAATTCCACATAGATTAGTGCTCTAAATGTGAAATACAAATTAATAAAACTTTAAAAATGTAATATAGTGTCTTCTAGAATTCTGGAAAGTAAATATATCTTAAATAAGATGAAATGGCACTGAATACCCAGAAACAGATTGATAAGTTTGACAATATAAAAATTAAGAACTTTTGGTCATTAAAAGATATAAAAAATGAAAAGATAAGCCACAGAATAGGAAAATAAACTTGCCACATATACAACTGGCAATCAATTTGTATAAAGAACTCTTACAAATTAATTAGAAAAAGACAACTCAATAGAAAAAAATTGGCGAAATTTTGAGCAGTTAATAAAAGAGGAAATCAAGTAGCCAGTGAAAATATATTAAGTGCTTACCTTATTAGTTTCAAGGGTAATGGTAAACATACAACATGACAGCTCTATACCTCACAGGTAAGTTGAAACAAAAGTAGGATAATGCTAATTGGTGGGGATAATGTGGAGCAATGAAAAGTATTATGAACTCTTGTGTGGAATTTAAATTGTAAACCCATTTTAGAAAACAGTTTGTCATTATTCAGTAATTTTAAAGATGCATGTATCCCATGGCCCTGCAATTCTACGCCTAAACATATACTTTAGAGAAACATTCATTTAAACACCAGGATGTACATACAAAAATATTTATTTCAGCATTTTTTTATAATAGCCCCGAACTGAAAATAATTTAAACATTTATCAAAAGTAGAATGGATAAATTGTAGCATA
Organism: Homo sapiens; assembly: GCF_000001405.40. NCBI lineage: Eukaryota > Metazoa > Chordata > Mammalia > Primates > Hominidae > Homo > Homo sapiens. The sequence goes on along the minus strand of NC_000023.11, from coordinate 34,534,169 downwards.
CTCCTTTGATAGAACATCATCAGCAATGAAATTAAATAAATTACTGCTGCATTCAACAAACTTTATATAAAGGATCCAAACACAAAAGGATATGAATTGTGTAGTTTTATTTATATAAATTTCAAAAATAGATAAAGGAAAAAGTGTATTTTTGTAGGAATGTATGATCACACACTGAAGAAATAATGAAGCATGAAATTGGTAAGGGAGCTCTTGGGGATCTTGTAGTATTACATTTCTTGATTCAAGTACTTACGTATTTTACTTTCTGTATGGATCTTATATTAATCTGTTAAAATATTTTTAAAATTAACTAGAGACCATATTGTCTTTTGATTTTCTCCAGATTTTCAAAGTCCCTCTGTTGACATGCATTTAAATATTACTTGCTAGTAACACAAGCAGATTTACTAGCAGTAATGGAGAAATTATTTATTTGTTTCCATCCCAGTAAACCTCAAATTACTTTTATAGTATTGAACTTGGCAGCAATCAATCAACAAATTCTCCACCTCCTTAGAAGGGTGCAGACAATCTGAAAATATTCTGATGGTGATGATTTTGTGATCATTGGTACATGTTTTGCTTGGGAAACTATATGAAAGCAAGCTATAAAAAATAGGCTTTTCTTTTTCAAAAACACCCAGTAATAAGAGACAAAGAAGAACTATTCAGAAGAAAATAAGCTGTCAAAATGGGGGAAAAGAGACCATTCATGAAAACAAAATCATGGTATTATTCTGAGACTATAGACAGAAGTCAAGTGGGGGAAAACAAAACTGGATACTTCTCAAATAATTTAGGAAGAAGAACCCAGATACATACTTTCAGCTTGCATATAATATGTATCAGTGAACACATTATATTCTGAATAGCCCAGATTTCTGTTAACAGGAATCATATTCCTTGAGGAAAGCACCATGATAAGGGCCCTGATGTGTGTGTGTGTTCTAAGAAAGGAAACTACCCCCACATGGATGGGGTGGGGTAGCCAAAGGTCTGCAGCACTGATATGGTGAAGGACATTTATGGACAAGGTTGATTAATGTTTAATGTATAATGTGTTGCATTGATACAATGCATTTTTTTGGTCTTATCATCCCCAAAACTATCTCACTCATGGATGCTTGATTTTTGTGTGTTCCTTAATGTCACGATTTCCCAGGCCAACCATGAAAAGATAAATTCATGGTCACTATTTGAATTAAAAATAAATTTATTCTGTAATATTCATATGATTGCCACAATAGTGTGTGCATTCTTCATAGTATAAGTCACAGAAGTAAGTCTAAGACATTATAACTGTCTTTAGAGAGCTGTGTTGCTTCAGAAAAGAAGCTTAGGAACAAAGAGTAGAAGTAGCAAGACGGTATTCTTTGTTTCAACTTAAGTATACATTATATGTTCAAGTATATTTCAGAAGTTAAAACATTGATATAAAGCAGAACTCAATAATAATGTGCTCTGGATATAGCACAATAGGTGATTGGCACTCCCAACACCTGTGTCTTAGCCTGTTTTATGCTACTATAACAGAATACTTGAGATTGGGTAATTTATAAAGGACAAAAATTTATTTACTCACAGTTCTGGAGGCTGGGAAGTCCAAGATCAAGGCACTGGCATTTGGTGTGTGGTGGGGGCCTTCTTGCTGCACCATTACATGGCAGAAAAACAAGAGAACATGCTATCTGAACACTGCATAAAGCCACTTTTTAAGAGCTTTAATTTCATTAATGAGAAAAAAGCCCTAATGGCCCAATCACCTTGCAAGGGCCTCACCTCTTAATACTATAAAAAATGTTATCACATTGGCAACATCTGAATTTTGGGGAGACCATTCAAACCATAGTACCCTGTTTTCTGTTCATAACCTGTTCTTAAATGCAACTGGGAAAAAATTTTATATGGAGAATGGGGAAAATAGGAGGGTTACAAAGTGATGGACACCTGATTCTTTCAGAATTCCTAGGTTTAGTATATAGTCACTTAAGTAAAATATAAGTTTTACTCTCTTTTCTTTTGCATTTAGCAGTTCAGGCTGTTTGAAAAACATATTCATTTTTGTTGTTGTTGTTAAACTCACAATATCATAACACCATACTTTATGTGATTAAAATTTTGAATATCACATAGCATGCTGTGGTGGGATTTTATTGTATTCCCATAAGGGTCAGAAAAGAGCCTCCCAAGTGCCCTAAATGAACCTCTGCTGCCCAGACCCCTCAACTTTACTCCCAAGGACCCAAAAATCTGCCTAGAAGGGCATCTGTAAGATGCTGCTTCAAAGCTAAGTCTGGTGGTCATTTATTGAATATAATTTGCCAATCAGTTGTTAAAGATATTGAATACTATCCAGATTCCCCTGCAATGGTTGATTTTTCTCTATACCATTTCCTGAAAAATAATAATATTTATTTATTTGTTTATAGCTTCGTTCAGTGCTAAAAGGGCACCATCCTCTTCTATTTTGTTCATGACTATAAACTAGGTACCAAGAAGAAATTTTGGCCCAAAGAAGTGTAATAAGTATTTGTTGAATTAATGGATAAGTGATTAAATGACTATAAATAATGTCTAAGTAGAAATGATCACTTTTTGAAGAATGTGCTACATCTAAAACCTGGCAGGGAATTACCAATGAAATTAAACATGCAGAACTTCGGTTTTGGGGGACATTTAATAAACACCACGAACAGAGTGCAGATATTAATATTTATATTTCATTGATATTAAAATTCATGCTATTTCCACAAGATTAATAAAAATGCTTATTCCTTACTTTACTGATGATAATTAGAATGTAAAACACATTTTAATGTCCTCATAATAGATGCCACCATTCATCTTTGCAAGCTGGTGAAGCATTATTTAAGTTACTAATTGGATTTCAATAAGCATTTAGTAGATTATCAATGATTTCGTCTGTGTTATGAATAATTGGAAGCCTTACGGAAGATGTCCTATTAATACCAAATAATCTGAATAACAAAAATAATTCAGAAGTGTAAGAATTTAGAAAATTTGTTAAAAAATTCCAACTTTGAGGATATGGAGCTCATATAAAACAATTGAAGCCTTCTTGTCTAACATGTAAATAAATATTTGATTATAATAATGATCTTATATAATACATATAATTATTGAACCCTAAAGAAGATTATAACTTCAGAGAAAGAGAGAAATAGTAGGAATAATCTATTGTGGGAATTATGTCAGTGATATAAATTGTGGAGGCAGCATGAATTAGAGACTTTGGCATCAGACCTGAATTAAGATTTCTATCCTACCACTGACTAACTGAAAAAAGTAGGCAAATTTTATAAACTTTTAAAGCCTATCTTCTATTCCAAATATTTCTCTTCCTTCCTTCAGTTCTTCTCTTCCCTCCTCTCTTTTTTTCTCTCTCTCTCTCACAAGCCCACACAGATTTCCTGTTTTGGAAACCCAATTTTTAAATTTGTAAATGTAGTGCAATTTTAGCAAGATTATTACCATAGAATCTGATTGCTTAATCTACACACAAGACCTACTGTTAGCTGGGAAACATATTTTCTCTGCACAGGCTGATAACCATTAAGACAGTATAGATGAGACTAAATTAATTGCACAGAGAAACATTTTACTAACTAGCTTCCACTGATATGTCCTGTGCCTGTTTTTGAGATAATCTAGTTCAAGTTTATTGATCGGATTGACCATTTCTTGATGTGTTCAATTCATAGTCATTCTGACTTGAAACACAGCTTTCTTTTTTCTCTGCCAACCTCTTTTGCTTCCTAGATTCCAGGAGTAGATTATGTCTAGTAGAAGTCTAGTAACAAATAGCCGATCAAGACCTGCAGGAAAAATATATGTGAAGATAGTGTCTCCTTCTAGCTCACCCTCTCTTCCAATAATTGTAATGTTTTGATGAAAACATAATCCTAGTGTGTGGGAGCATTCAAATATTTGTATTTTAGATTTTATGTGTGGGCATGTAAAATATTTATATTTAGACCAAATGTGTGCCTGCCTCTAAGATCTACAATAATAATAAGACATCCAAAATTGGCCTACCATAGGGTAGAGATACTGTGTTTGAAGGAACAGACATAAAATTATCGACATGAAGATTGGAATTTTAAAGATAATGGAATAAAGCATCTTGGAATTCAACAACAAAGATTTCTGTACCCTTGATTGACAAGATATTATCTGTTGAAATCTTCTTTGATAACAATCATGTTGGTCCTTATTGTATATGTGGAGAGTTTTTGTTTGTCAAATATGTATTCTTCACTTTGGTATCCCCAATTTTTTGTTAACCTACTTTCACCTGTGTTCAATTATCATTATAATTTTCAACTTTTGAGCCTTCCACTGCTTCTTCATCATTTTCAAGATTCAGGCTACTTCTAATGACCTTCTTGCTTTTCCCAGGAACAGGGCAGTACCAGGAAGAGGAGCAGGATGAGCATAAAGAACCATGACTGTAGCCAAGGTAGAAATGATGATGTATACATTAAACATTTTCAATGAAGATTAAATTAGATGATATTAATAAAGCTCTTGCAGAAGATGAACATTGCACTAATCTTCTGTAGGATGATAGTAGAACATATCTTAGTAAATAATAGCTTTTTTGCTTTGTTTGTCCCCAACTCCCTCCAATTTCACTTCTAGATCCTTATATAACACTATTTTTCCATGCCTAACTCAGAAAATGGTTTCCCACTTCTTGACATGAATAAGGAACACTGGATTTGGATTTAGAATAACTTATTTTCAGAAATGGCTTTATCCTAAACTAGACCTGTGATGCCTTAAGGCAACTTAGTTAAATTCGTTTTCTCACTAAGTAGATCAGAAAATTTAGTTTACAGTAGTAACAAAATAGACTGAGATAGTAATTAATGAATATGAATAAATGCAGTTAACAAATGTAAGACACTTCAAGTTTGTAATTTAATTAAACATTTAACTCCCCCAGTGGAATACCATTCTCCAGCAGAAAATGACATGGATTTTTTTTCAGATTTTTTTCAAGTAACCTCCCTTCCTATCCCAACTCATATCTCATTCTTTAGCCAGATATTTTTCTTATTGTGGCAATGAGGGAGGTAAAAATTGTTTTTGTCTCAAGGACTTTCAATGCTTTAAGGCTAGCATTAATTTCTTTAAATAACTATCACACCAACTTGAGCAACATTTACTTGTACTTTTCAAGCAACTATTTAGTCCCCTTATAATTAATTAGGATAAGACACAGGAATAATTTCAAGCCTAAAATTGATGTCTCGTTATCCATTTTAGTTTTGGGCAAATTGGCATTGGCATAGGGGAGAAGGGTGTCTTTTCTATTATTACTCCAATCATCCAAGCTCTATTTTGCAGTTTTCCTAGGAGGCTAGACTATTTCTGGAAATACTATGAAAATTCATGAACTCAGACAAGCCAGAAATATGACCTTACCCTGGGGAGATTTTGCCAGTTGGCAAAAAATTAATAGTAATGAGATTGAATTATCTGCTACGGATCAATGGAGTATATTCTATTATATGGCCTTAAGCTATGTGCCAAATTTAACCAATCATCTCAGCATTGTATACCAGGCTGAACTGAATGAATCAACAAAAATATATGTCCATGACTACAAAAATGTTTTAAATTATATGGTCTAATTTTCTGGATTAGTACCATAATGTTCTGATTAGGAGAAAATGAAATAGAGAGTGGATACAAACTGATGAGTCAAGATGAGCCAGTTTTCCAAAGTTCCTCTGAATCTGGTCAATTATTTCCAAGTTTTAAATTATACCTCTGGATTAGTCCATTCTCACACTGCTAGAAAGAACTACCTGAGACTGAGTAATTTATGAAAAAAATGAGGTTTAAATGACTCACAGTTCCACAGGCTTAACAGGAAGCATGACTGGGAGGCTTCAGGAAACTTATGATCATGGCAGAAGGTGAAGGGGAAGCAAGCCTGTCTTACCATGGTGGAGCAGGAGAGAAAGAGAATGAAGGGGGAAGTGCCACACACTTTTAAACAACCAAATCTTGTGAGAACTCCCTCACTATCATGAGAACTGCAAGGGGGAAGTCCCCCCACATAATCCAGTCACCTCCCACCAGGTCCCTCCCTCAAATCCTGGGGATTACAATTTGAGATGAGATTTGGGTGGGGACACAGATCCAAACTGTATCAACCCGTAAGTGAGGGCAGGTCCAGCATAAAAGAAAAGCAGAATAACACTTTGCTATTAAGATCCTCATGCCTGAAAATGATTCATTCTAGGATGTGCCTCAAGCTGGGGTAAAGGCTCTTATTTAGTATCATTTCTTTCAAATTGCAGTGGTATCCCTGGCATATACCAAGGCAATAACAAATGTTTATGTAGTTACTGATGTCAGGATACTTTGGTTGAGCATTCTGTGAAGACCACCAGAAATCCCTGTTCATTAAGCAAATCTAAGTTCATTAAATTTACTGTGGTAAAAAAGAACACCTTAACAGAGGCTTAGCAATGTCTCAAAACGGTGAAATAAAGAAAGGATGTTTGTAGCTTTTAGAGGCCTGAAACGGATGATTTTAAGGTGAATCTTGCAACGTGGGGAACTGGTTGAGAGTGGACAGAGTTTTTGACATAATAGCTTTCTATTGGTAGGCACAGTGAGGCAGGGGCTTGAAGTAAATATTGATAAGCAAGCTGTTAGTCTTGATAGAAACTCTTTTTATTTGGTTAATTGTTTTTATCATTGAGGGACAGACAGTTCTTGGTGTGAGAGCTAACATACTTTTCCTTAGTATCAGTATAGTATTTATGATAGAGAAAGAAAGTATTCCTGGTCCCAGTATTGTTTAATACAGGGATAAGAAATAATGTTGGTTTTAGGTGTGAATGAAAAATTAAGTGATGAGTAAGTAAACCTTCACAGAATCACCTAATGACAAAAATTATCTTAATGAGGCAGTGGTATTCTACTCCATTACAAAAAAATTATTATCTCAATGCAAAGAATTCAGTGGTATTATTCTTCGGTATTCTTCTTTCTGTGTTTATTCTATGTCTTATTGCAGTGAATTGAATACACTGAGAGTATAATCACACTTTTTCTGAGGTAGTCAATGCCTTGTGTCACCTTTAATTAAATATTTTTGCCACTGAAGAGTTTTTGCGTTGGCACATCTGCCTAACTTATTTTTCTATAGTCCATGGGAGAAGCAGTAAGCAGGAAAAGAATATTGCAATTTTTATCATTTTTCTAATTAATATTTCTGGCATTTCAAATGTTAGTACTTTATCTTGTATAGGTTAAGACTTTCATTTTTTGAGTAATTTTTTTACCGATTTTGATTGGAAGATCAAATTTCTCTTTGGCTACATTGCCCTCCATGTATATTCTAGTTTTGTGCTCCTCCATTGCTTCATGAGCCCATGAAATCCTGTCTTGCAGAAAATTCATAGAAATCCCTGTTCTTCCATTATTTCTGCTGTGTATTTGTATTTTTTCTATTTATTTGCTGCCATTTAATGGTGTCCTAGGAGGAAGAACAGAAAAGGCTCTATATTTGGTCTGTCATCTTGACTGAAAGAATTTTTGTCTAATTTTGGAAATTTATTTGGATACTGTATTTGTTTTCAAGTGGTTATTAAGTTATGAAATATGTGAAATATGTGCTGTCTTAAAATATATTATACATATCAATGAAGACTAACATAGAATGATGACAAATAACTATAGAGTGGGAGTTTTGAGCTCTAGTTCCAGTTCCAAGCATTCTAGCTATATTAATTCAAACAAGTAATTTAATCTTTTTTATTTAAGCACCTGCATCTGTGACACAGTCAGGTTATTTCCTATGCCTTTTTTTTTTTTTTTTTTTTTGAGAGGGAGTCTCTCTCTGTCGCCCAGGCTGGAGTGCAATGGCGTGGTCTTGGTTCACTGCAACCTCCGCCTCCTGGGTTCAAGTGATTCTTCTCTCTCAGCCTCCTGAGTAGCCAGGACTACAGGCGCATGCCACCACGACTGGCTAATTTTTGTATTTTTAGTAGAGACAGGGTTTCACCATGTTGGCCAGGCTAGTCTCGAACTCCTGACCTTGTGATCCGCCAGCCTCAGCCTCCCAAAGTGCTGGTATTACAGGCATGAGCCACCGCGCCTGGCCTATTCCCTATGCCTTTCTAAGATGTTTCCAATGTTAATATTCTGATTCTACGTCATCCTAAGACAGGGAATCTAAATTAATTACATTTGACTACAGAACAATTTTATCATTTTAGTGCAAGTTTTAGGACCATTAAATTTTAAATCTTAACTTTTAGGTCTTAAATCTCAGGTCTAAATGCTTTAAAATACTTTAATACATATATAGAGAGAGCATGGGAGATATTTTTTCCTTCCAGAAACAAAGTATGTGATTTTTATTTTTTCAACATTACTTCTTCAATTCTCTGACACCAACTAGGTGTCCTCAACTCAATTTAAATCTGAGGCTAACTGTCCAGAGTTAGTGTCAGACTTCATAGGATACGGGCTAAGTCACATAAGACTGCCGTCATTTCAGTGCCAGTCAGAAGTATCAGGTTCCTTGTTTACCCACTTGTTTGGGAAAAACAACTGAAATCATTTTTCCTCTGCTCTTAGGCCACAACAGTTATCAACAGAGAAGAAAACTTTTGTGACCAAATGTGTGGGGAATTTTCCACCCCCACAAGCTTCAGGCACCAGCTGGGTATAAACCAATTCAATTCTAATACTATCTACCCAGACAGAGTGTCAGATCGCACAGATTGAGGACTCAGTTCCCAAGACTTCTCCTAACTTCAGTTAACAGTCACAAGTCTGGGCCTTCAGAAATTCTGTCTGGCCTTGAGGCTGGGGTTCCTACTATTCCCTCTTTGGGTGTGATTAATTTGCTGGAGTGGCTCACAGAACTCAGGGAAACACTTACTTACATTCACTGTCTTATAATAACATTGCAAAGGGTGCAGATAAAAAGATGCATAGGGAGAGGTGTAAGGGAAAGGGCACAGAGCTTTCACGCCCTCCCTGGGTGCACAACCCTCCAGCAGCCTCCACATGTTGAGCTATCTGGAAGCTCCCTGAACCCAGAGTTTTCATGCCCTCCCTGGTTACACCACCCTCCAGGAGCCTACACATGTTTAGCTCTCTGGAAGCTCCAGGAACCCAGTTCTTCTGAGTTTTAATGGAGGTTTCATTACATAGGCATGATAGGCAACAATGTAGAAATATGATTGGACAAAAATAGTATGGTCTCATCCTAATAGACTGAGTGGGAAAACTCAGCAAGGCCTGTCTTTTCAGATTCTTCTTGGCCTCTCTGTGAAGCATTCCTTCCTCCAGGTTATAGAGTAGGACCCTCTCTGTAATGAGGATCTCTTGACCCACAATCAGATTAGAGTCTTATCTTGAGCAGGTAAAAGGAAAACAGGGGAAAGTAAAAGATTCTATTTCTTGAGGCTTGCTCCTAAGGCCTAAAGCACCTCGATATCATAACAAAAGACTGTAAAAGGGCCTATGGGAGTTTTGAGCCAGAAACTGTGGACAAAAACATTACACATACACACACACACACACACACACACACACACACACATAAATATCCCACCTTTTTTGGTCCTAATTGGCTATGAAGTCAGGGGTTCCCACAACCCCCCTCCTCAAGTTTGATAAATTGCTGGAATAATTCACAGAACTCAGGAAAATATTATATTTACAATTACAGTTTATTATAAAGGATAGAAGTGAACGGTCAAATTAAGAGGTCCGTAGAATGAGGTGCAGAAGGGTCTCAAGCATAGGAGCCTCTGTCCCCATGGAATTGGAGTATGCTACCTTCCTGGCATGTGAATGTGTTCACCAATTTGGAAGTTCCCCAAAGCCTGTCATTTAGGGGCTTTTACAGAGGTTTCGTTACATAGGCATGATTATAGCCATTGGTGATTAACTCAACCTTCCGCCCCACTCTTTTCCCCAGAGGTGAGTAAGGTGAGGCTGTAAGTACAAGCTTCTTTTTAACCAAGGGTTGGTCTTTCTAGCAACCGACCCTATCCTTCAGCTATCTAGGGTCCTACCATGGTCCTACCTATCTAGGGTCCTACCTCATTAAAAGAAAATACATTCCTATTACCTTTATCACACAAAAATTCCAAGGGGTTTAGGATTTCTGTACCAGGAGGTGGGGACAAAGATCAAATAGTTTGTGTGTGTGCGTGTGTGTGTGTGTGTGTGTCTGTGTGTGTGTGTTAGTCTGTGTGTGTGTTAGTTAATGAAATTTAATGCATATTTGTTTTCTATTTGAAGAATTGGTAGAAATGTCTCTTTTACTTACAAGTCTTGGATTTTGATTTGTTTTTTCACTAAAAGAACTTTTATAAGAAACTGATTAGACTTCATAGGCAAACAATATCTAGAATGTTACCCACATACTGAATTGGTTTCATCAAGGGAAAAATTACTCCCTTGTGGTATATTCGATATTTTAAGAAGCTATGTTGACAATTTAAGCCACCAGGGTACCATTTAGCAAATTGCAACTTCAATGGATTATTAACTTTTTACATAATATATTTCAATTAAAATGAAATTGGATTCCACTGAAATAAAATAGTTGATGCTGAGTTTTGTCTATAAGCAGGAGAGCACCGGCAATGTTGTTTAAGGACATTTTACCTACAAGAAACTCAATCACTTCAGAAGTGAACTCATTTATATTTGACTACAGGCAACCACACAGAATGAGTGGATATTTTAACTATTTATCTTCCTCAGAGGCTCTTCCATATCTTATCTTCAAAAAGGAATGCTTTACAAACTATTCCTCACTAAAATATCACTACAAAAATTACTTTAAAAAATTAAGCTTGAAAGGTGTCAGAGTTAATTTCCCCTCACATTATTATTCTGAATAAGTTAGAATTCTTCAAACCTAATAGAATTAGAGTGAGATTATCTCAGTGGATATAAAGTACAATCTACTAACAAGTGACTCATTTGGAAAGTAGAATTAACTATTCCTTGTCCACTAAGAGCCCATTTGATCCACTGAAGGCAGTTATTGTAACCATCATCACCTAAGCTTTTATATACTGGCTTATTTTGAATGGCAATTTAAAGCCTTACTAAATTCACTGAATTCTATAGAGAGAAGAAACATTTTATATATTCATTCATGGTATTTTCGATTGATTTTTGTTACATTACTTTAACTTTTGTGCAGTTTTCACTGTCTACTTCTCTTCTTGTCTTGACTGGTCCTTACATACAACCCACTGAGGAATGACTGTGCTCGTTACACTGTGCTTCTTCTGGTATGATGCAAATTCTGTATAGTCTTAGCTTAGGGTCAATATTTGATGAAGCATATCCTTCTCTCTTGAGATCTTTTAACTCTATGTTCCAACCCCATATCCATAGTTCTAATTTAAATAAGCTAACTTAGTCCTTCCTTATTCTGGACAAATTACATGTTTGGTGATATCTATTTCTAATGTCACCTGATCTTTTATTTTTATCCTTTTAAAATATCTATTACATGTTCCGTCTCAAAGCAAAATCTTGATAGTAAGACCATTTATACTATTTAAAGATAATATTCCCTCTATCTGTCCCTTCCTCTTTCTTTAAAACACTTGTGTATGTATAAATATGTGCACATATATAACTATATAGCTATAACGACATTTACAACTAAAATAATTACTTCCAAGTTACAACATGAATTGGCCATCATAAGCATATCATAATCTTTCTCATCTCATACAGTAAAGTGAACTAGTTTATAAAATATGATCAACTTGAAAAAATTCAAGCTGGTTTAATGTAACTTTACCGGATGAACAAGGCCTTTGAGATTTGGGGTACTAGATGGTTTCTGTAGCCAGCCTCTCCTGTAGCATGGCTCCTCCAATGCAAGGCAGAATATCTAACCTATATAAATGAACCAAAGATGGACTCTGTGTATCATTTATTTCTTCACTGCAGGCTGAGACCTGCTAGCTCAAAAGGCCCCTGGAACCAAACCCAAATATTTATACATTCCATTTATTTTAACAATAACCCAAAGAAGCAGATTTTTAGCCATTTTGAGCCTACCCGCTTTGCATACCTCATGAAACCTCAGCCAACATCTGCTAGACACAGCTTAGGTAAATCTTGAGGTTAAACGATCCCAAGCCATTGCTGCCTTCTAGAGCTCTTTGACCAAGAGACTCAGCACTGCTGAGTGATATCACCTACACATGTAAGCCCCCTCTCCAAACTCCCTTTCCTGAGGGAGTTCCCATGTCTTCCTCACCTTATGAGTATTGACCTGTGCCAGTAGCTTCTGGACAGTCTTGTGCTGTGAAGGACGTTCTCTGAATGCAGACCTATCACCCTGTATAGCTTCTGTGTTCTACTGCCATCTCATGGACATACCTTTCTCTTTTATCAGCCTCCAAATCCCTAGAACCTCTTACAATCCAAGAGACAGAGCATGCTTAACACAAAGACAATATTTTCCCTTTTCACTTAATATTAGATGGTACAAGGTAAGTAGATTTTATTATGTTTATCTTGTTTTGAAAGTAGATAGGGGCCAGGTGCACTGGCTCACGCCTCCATTCCTAGCACTTTGGGAGGCTGAAATGGGCGAATGACTTGAGGTCAGGAGTTTGAGACCACCCTGGACAACAGGGTGAAACCACATCTCTACAAAAAACACAAAAATTATCCTGGCATGGTGGTGCACGCTTGTGGTCTCAGCTATTTGGGAGGCTGAGACGGGAGAATCACTGGAAACCAGGAGGTGGAGGCTGCAATGAGCCGAGATTGTGCCCCTGTGCTCCAGCCTGGGTGACAGAGTGAAGCCCTGTCAAAAAAAAAAAAAAAAAAGTAGATAGAAAATAAATAAATAATATCTTTATGCAAATCAAACTTTGCCCTTCCTTCCATCTTTATTTTGCCTTTCTTTCCTTATACTCCTTTACTTTAAATCTTTTTACAAGATATATGAGAGAATCATATCTTTTTTTACTTAAGTAGACGTGATATAATGGTTCATCTACCAAAGAGAAAAAAAATGAACGTATACTCAATTTATAAAGACCAACAATTTTGGAGCTTAACAAAAGATTTTAAATTATTTTAGAAGAAAAACAGGAAAAAATGACGAACAACAAATACAAATATATACATATATATATGCACACTGGCATTTGTTTTTATAAGTTGAAGGCCTTCCATCTTCTGAAATTTAGAGTCATCTTTAGCAACATTTATTGAGTGTTTCCCATGTGCTAGACAGAATTCTAAGAAACAGCTTATTGCTAAAACAGGATAATAACTATTTCAAACAGGTTTCCAAAGAAAACAAAAAACGGTTAATAGCAAAATTGTTGTCAAATGTGACAAATAAAATTGATGCATGTGCCTAAATCACCAATTGCCCTCTTCCTCAATGACAACACCCACTACCAATTGCCTCATTAACATCTGACATGTCATTGTCCTTCAAAAATCTATCTTGCAACAATCCAAATTTTTCTAATCCACCAAAAATCCCAATTCATATATCCTATCTGCGTTGAAGACTTTCCTTGCAAATATTCAGGCACACATTTCTTTCCACATTTGTATTTTTATAGTAGTTATTGTTTGCAAGTCTCCTAATCATATATATTATTTGTAAATATTACTATTCTTCATGTCAGTATCATGTCTTTCATCTCCTGGAAAGCAGGATTTTAATTCTGTTCATTTTTAAAATTATAGTGCCTGGACCATAATTAGAGCTCTGTAAGTGTCCTTGTTGAATTGTTTTATATCTGGAATGCAGCAGAAAATTTTTTGCATCTCAGAAATACCTAGCATAATGTCCAATCTTATTATTAAATTGTAATCTAATCTTCACTCTCAAAAACTTCCTAACTGATTTTAGGTAAATGGTGCTCTCCCCTATAGTTTTTATTTTCTCAGATTTAATGCAAGGTGATGCAGTTGATTAGAACAAGTTTATGTATTTCTTCACTTTTAAATTGATGACTTTATTAGTTAATAGTCATTGAATAAATTAATTTATTGAAATAAAATGACTGCCTAAAGAATTCATGAAGACTTATAGATGACGGTTCTTCTATATCAACATAGAAAAGTTATTACTAAACTACATAGTCTTAATCAGGTTTATCTGATCAACATGCTATGTGGGGTATGCAAAATTCCATTAACTATGCAAACTCTTAATAATTGTATTCATTTTTGAAAGGGAAATAATGTTAACTTTAATGTTTTCGAAATAAATATTGAGACTTGCTAAATCATTCTTTGGACACACAATAACAGCATGTTTCTATTGCAACGTTCCTTTCAAATTTGAATATATTAGTGTTTCGATACAAAGTTAGTTTACCTAGTAATGCAATATTATCATTTTATTGTATTCACTTACTATAGATTACAGATGGAATAAATGAAACATTCCTCAAAAATGATGAATTGTTAGGCAGCAAAATTTGTGTTGAAACCCCAAACAAAAAAGCTGCAAATACTCTCTGTAATATTATACTAACATATGGCTATGTAAGATATGAGACTTTCCCTGTTTTACCAAGGTACCCAACTATTTCAGGTAAATTTATTTCATAAAATTTAGTTCATAAATAAATATTGTATATAAGCTCTGTGGCATTTTTTCTTGTGAGTGAGGTAATGCCTCAAAATTATTGTAACAGTTACATTCTTTCTTTCAGAGCACTCAGCATAATTAGGGAGATAAAATATATGAAACATTAATTGGTCTTCCTGATGTTACCCAGAAGAAACATTTTTTAAATTAATTTTGTGAATGTAATATATGAAACATACTGTTGAAAACAATATTCAAGATGCCCGCCCCCCAGTGACCCATGTTCTAGGTATATATGCCCTTGTTTATTTCTCTCCCATATTGAATAGGTGTTTGATTGTGTGTGACTCGCCAAGTCTAGATCAGAAAAGGCATTGTGGTTTCCATCTTGCTTTCTCTTGTATCACTTCTTCTAGGGGAAACCAACCGATACATCGTGAGAAAACTCAAGCAGATCATTGACAGGTGCAACAGGGAAAAACAGGCCTCCTGCCAATAGCCATCACCAGCATAGAGTGTGAGGAACCTTGCAGATAGATTTTTCATCTCCAGTCAATTCTTAAGATGACAGTAGCCCTGGCTGACATCTGACCAAGCCTCATGAAAGTCCCCGAGTGCAGATCCAAGCCACTAAGCTTCTCCTGAATGACTGACCCACTAAGACTTGGGGTAATGTGCAGCAATAGATAAATAATAAACATAAAGAATATATGTAACATATATGTTATTATAAAACAATAATAGAATGAACACCTGTGACACCTACCCCCCCATATTTATGAAATAGGACATTATCAAAAGGTTGTGTCCATCTTCACTTGTCTATCTCTGTGTTAGTACAGCACATTTTAATTACTGGTGATTGGCATCAAGTCTCATTTTATGAGAGAATAGATGCCTTCTTCCACCTTTTATTTTTTTCTTTTTAGGGGCAACTTGGCCAGCCCCTTCGCCATTTCCTGTAAGTTTTATTTTCAGTTATCACAAGATCAGGGATCTCAGGATCCACTAAAATACTTTTTGGATATTTGTTGGAATTGCATTTTGAACAATTGAATATTAGATATTGAATCCTGTTAACCATTAATTTAATGTATTGAAGTATTTCATTACCTTTTAGCAATGTCACTCATATATATTTCGTACATCTTTTCTTGCAGTTATTCTTAAGTATCTTATGTAGGCACAGAAGCTTCTCTTTGTTAGATTATTAATAATTCCTAAATTTCACTGGCTTATTTACCCCAGAAGTAGGTATTTATTTTTTTAGAAAAACAGAAGGATCATTTATTATTATTATGATCACATAATTCACTTATATTTTGCTTAAAGAGATTGATAATATTATGAATCAAACCAATTTCTGCAAACAGATTGTAATGATCAGCATGTAATGATCAGCAAAAAAAAATCATTTATTCAGCATTGCATTTTCTTAACCAAAACATATTCCATGTGAATCTGGCTTTCTTTTTTCTAGGTGAGTTAAAAATAGTGTAGTATGTAACATTCCCCATATATTGC
Source organism: Homo sapiens (assembly GCF_000001405.40). Classification (NCBI taxonomy): domain Eukaryota; kingdom Metazoa; phylum Chordata; class Mammalia; order Primates; family Hominidae; genus Homo; species Homo sapiens. Next base: position 34,518,031 of record NC_000023.11, on the reverse strand, counting down.
CAATCATGATGGTAAAAATATAACAATAAAATTACCTGGGTTAAATCAGAAGGAATCAGCTAAAATAGTATGTAAAGCAAAACATGAGAAAACACCATTTTAGTAAATGTTTTATGAGCTTTGTTATTCATTTCATTATTATCCTGTTAGATTCAGTTATTCACTACTGAAGAGAGAGATAAACTGTTTATCATCCAGTCAACTTATTGAATATTACCTATAGAATATCTATGTACCTGTATTTTGCATAAGAAAAATGCTTTAGTTATGTAACAGTTGCTCTGAGTAGTGTTAATAGCATTCAACTCTAAATCCAATTCTATTTTCATACCAACCATGAATCCTTGAATCAGAACACACATGGAGCATAGTATCATAATCCTTCAAATTTTAATCAAAGATATTTAACAATAAATATTATAAAATTGATGAGATGGTAAAATTAATTCTTTAAACTAACTAGCTATGAAATCTGAACACAAGACTCCAGAGGTTATCCTTTAGAAACAGCTTCACAAATGGCTTGGAAAATCAACCTGGTGGTAAATTTAATAAGCCATATTTCACCCCATTCTTGAAGCCAACCATCCCCGAAAACAATCTAGCAGTACCTGTCATTGGATATCATAATAAAGGCTGAACCGGAAACTAAAATCTTAATTCTAAATTGGTGTTCTGTCTTGCACTGGTCAGAGTCGTTTCCTTCTCAGAATCCTCATTAGTAAATTCAAGCAAGTATGTGTCAGCACCATCTTCTCTTTTTCTAGTAGAAAGGTCCCTTGTGAATCTCTGTCTCAGATGCATATACTGTGGCTTTTGTTTTCAAGAGATAGTGCACCAGAAGTAAGGCAGAATAAGCCTCACAAAGCCGCCAGAACAACATGGGTAGTAAAAGATAGAAATCAATGGGAATTACAGAATAAAAGGTTATAGGGGCTGCCTCGGCATGAACCTTCAATGTCCAATGAAAAGGTGTTTCCAAAATGATGTTATTGGTGACCTCTCTTGGACTGCAGCCAGGGTCTTGGCTCTTCTGCCCCTAACCCCATTGGGCCCAGTGGTGAGGAGCCCCTGGTTACCACCTGCTTGTCTCACTCCACGGAAGCCATAAACAAAAGTCACCTTGTAGCAATTTGGCATAGTGCCCAAAACAGCAGTTCGTTTTCTGAAGACATACTTTTTATATGTCTATGTTTATTTATGAATTTTGGGTGAAGTGGAGAAATGAAACTGTAAACTCTGTCAGTGTCAGAGTATCCAACTGAGAAAAGCCTTTTCCGATTTGAAATATTTTCATATCTCTGGAGGGTATTATTGAATTAGATTATACAGTCTCCAAAATTAATGGGGCTTTATCTTAATGGGTTTACAGAGATTTGGAAGTGCATCTCTAGATTTAACTACCCCAGAGATTTGCAGAAAATAAAGTATTTGAGACATTAAATGTACCAGCTTTTTAAGAGAAAAGTAAACTTTTATAATAGAAATTGTGAGCTTGTTTACACAAGAAACTAAGTTCATGTATTCAAAGTAAAGTTTTGCCCAAATTAGACTGGTTTGAATACAGCTATATTACTTTCCTCTAATTTTTATAACTGGTATGTATAAAATAATCAATTCATCTTTTTTTAAAATTAAGTTCTGGGGTACATGTGCAGAATGTGCAGGTTTGTCATGTCACAGGTGTGCCATGGTGGCCTGCGGCACCTATCAACCCATCACCCAGGTATTAAGCCCAGCATGCTCTCCTAATGCTCTCCTACCCTCGCCCTCCCGCAACAGGCCCCAGCAAGTGTTGCTGCCCTCCCCGTGTCCATGTGTTCTCACTGTTCAGCTCCCACTTACAAGTGAGAACATGTGGTGTTTGGTTTTCTGTTCCCGAGTTAGTTTGCTGAGGTAATGGCTTCCAGCTTCATCCATGTCCCTGCAAAGGACATGATCTCGTTCCTTTTTATGGTTGCATAGTATTCATTGGTGTATATGTACCACATTTTCTTTTTTCTTTTTTTTTTTTTGAGACGGAGTCTTGCTCTGTCGCCCAGGCTGGAGTCCAGTGGCGCGATCTCGGCTCACTGCAAGCTCCGCCTGCGGGTTCACGCCATTCTCCTGCCTCAGCCTCCGGAGCAGCTGGGACTACAGGTGCCCGCCACCACGCCCGGCTAATTTTGTTGTATTTTTATTAGAGACGGGGTTTCGCCGTGTTAACCAGTATGGTCTTGATCTCCTGACCTCGTGATCCGCCCGCCTTGGCCTCCCAAAGTGTTGGGATTACAAGCGTGAGCCACCGCGCCCGGCCCACATTTTCTTTATCCAGTCTATCATTAATGGGTATTTGGGTTGATTCCATGTCTTTACTATTGTGAATAGTGCCACAATAAACATAAGCGTGCATCTATCTTTATAATAGAATGATTTATTTTATTTTGGGTGTACACCCATTAATGGGATTGCTGGGCCAAATGGTATTTCTGATTCTAAATCTTTGAGGAATCACCACACTGTCTTCCACAATGGTTGAACTAATTTACATTCCCACCAACAGTGTAAAAGCGTTCCTATTTCTCCACAACCTCAATAGCATCTGTTGTTTCCTGACTTTTTAATAATCACCATTCTGACTGGCATGAGATGGTATCTAATTGTGGATTTGATTTGTATTTCTCTAATGATCAGTTATGTTAAGCCTTTTTTCATGTGTTTTTTGGCCGCAATGCATCTCATTTTTAAATTACATTTGGTTTGTTTTCTTATGAAAAGACCAGTAATTCTGAACTTCCAAAACTTTTTGTATCAATTTATTGATTAGTTAAGCAAATGTATTTCTATACGATATTTAGGATTGAGAAAAATACGAAACTATGTGTTTATTCTTCTGACAAAGTTTTTATGTCAGCAGTAATTATGTTTTGTCTTATGGATGTCTGTATTTGTTTAATTTGGAATTTAATTGGAAATTATTTAATTTCCAAGATTCTTTGCTTACCTGAAGGTGTATAAGTTATGTGAGTGGTAGTTAGCCATGTTATATGAGCTTGTGAGCTTTGCTTATCTGCTAATTGTGTTGTATGATAGATGATTATCAATTATCCACTTCCATGTTTGTTGTGTGTGTTTGTGAAAAAGAAGTTAGTTAATCTGGTTAAAAGATATAGTTACTGTGTGAAACTGAGATTCTACTGAGATCAATGATAGCAGAAAAGCACAAGAATGTATGCGAGATAATAGGATAAGTTCTGTTTATCAAAGAAAAATGAGAGTAGTATGTAAATTATGATATCTGTTCCAAAATCTGAAAGAGGATAATGAAAGACAAAACCTGGATATTATAGAAATTTGCAGAATTTTTGAAGCAAGGAAATTTTGTCTTGGTTTGCAATAATTGCATATAATGGAGCTAAAGAGAAGCATTGAAAATTATTAACATTTTGACAACTTTTGTGCAATGTCGATGGGCTTATTCATAATTTTAAAAGAAATTAGCTTGTGAATCTTTTATTTGACTTTCTATTACAATGACAATTGATCATGAAGTTTTTAGTCTTCTTTTAATAAGGAGTACTAAAAAGTTTACTGTCTGTGTAATTCGCTCAGAGAACAGAGATTCAGTATCTTACCAGAACTATTTTCAGTGCTTTGTGTTGACTTTATTGAGCTCTAGAACGGAAGTCAGCACATTTATTTTTCTGCAGTTTTAGATAGTGATTATTTTAGGCTTTGCATGTTATCAGGTCTCTGTCACAACTACTCGGTCATTGTAGTACAAAAGTGCCATAGACAATATGTAAATGAGTATGTGTGGCTGTGTTCAATAAAACTTTATTTATGAACATTGAAGTTTCATATAATTTTCATGTCACAAAATGTTATTACTATTTTAATTTTTTTCGAACATTTAAAAATGTAAAATCTATTCTTATTTTATGAACTATACCCATGAAATTTGGAATATGGCTGATGTTTTAATGCTTTTTCTACTGATAAGTATATAAGGAGTCATTGATCTTTCCTGATCTTTTCCTCCCAGTTTAGAATTTTATGCTTTTATAAATGGAAATGAAACATTTTAAAATGGAATCGAAATCTCATAATTCAGAAACAAATGTTTTTACTGATTTTTTTTTGTTTTGTGACAATAGTTATATTCATTGTTTCAATAAGAATTTGTCTCCATTTTACCTCAAATTAGACAAATTGATTGTCCAATGCTATATTTGGGAAAGAATCATTTTTAGTCTGGTACAGCAAGCCCATCATTAGGGAACAAAGGCAACAAATGACTACAAAACCCTCGCAGGAAACTGTACTGGTACCTGTCTTACAAGACTTCAGCTTCAGAAGTGATAAGGAAGGTCACTTCCTGGCAGGCAAGGAACTTTAGTATATTTGGGGGGCCTTGAGGAGAGAGAACTTTATTAAATCTGTGGTTATTACCACAGTGAAATCTGGGGGAGAGATTTTCATGGCCTTGACATCCTAACCCCTATATGAATAAAAAGGCCATAGATCCTTTTAAGTGGTTCAACCCTGGACTCATTGATACAATTTACAAACAAAATATTTTTGCTAGTTGCTGAATACTATGTAATCCAGGAAGCATATGTAGCTAACACCACCGTTGTATCTGTGAAAATAATCAGATTAAACTATAATGAGGTCAGCCATTTTTTTCTAATCAATGTTCAAAGATTATTTATGACCAAAACATGGGGACGATTAAAAATTATTAAAACTGGAAAAAAGGACAAAAAAGGTGGGTGGCATATCTTTTCAATATTACTCAGACATTGTTTAATGAGCGCACCTGAGGATTATATATTTTTTCAGGAGAATATACCTATTTGCTATTTACAACTTGATCACAACTCAGACACTATGAAGTTACTAGCTAACTTAAAATTTCTATCTGATAAAAATATAACCTCCGTGGTTGCTACTTTATTGCCCCAAATGACAATAATGAATTTGTATCTGACCTGGCAGTCCTACTCTAAAGTTTTTAGATGGCTATCTTGATAAACTATGTAAACCCCTTTTTATCAAATGCTTTTGGAGTCAGTGTTACCATCTAAGTGGTTACCTCATTAATTAATAAGCTGAATAAAATCTTTAATATACATTCATTTTATATTTTCATGTCATATTTTTAAAGTAAAATTATACTTTGACCCATATAAGATATTCATGTTTATAAAAGCTTGAATTTTCATATTCATGTGGATTATCACATAAAGTTTCACTGTCATACAATGTAAAATGAAGCTAGATTTTAGTCTCCTTTTACCTTAAGTTATATTTAAATTTTCGGATGCAGCTTTTGGATTAATTAGATATATATCCTTCTGTGATGGCAAAGAGAATGGCATTTTGAATACAGACTAAATGATCTTAATGTCATGAAACAGGAATTGTGTCTAGAAATAACTGATCATATTTTCCAATTACTTTTGGAAATGACAGGATGGTAGTAAATATGCCAAAACCAAAATTGTTTTGGGTAGATATTTTCCAAAGGTCATTTTGTGAATACCAATGAAGCCCATGCAGCAATTTGTGTAGTTATTTTGATGTGCACTTAGCAGCTGACTCAAGTCTGGCTGGCCATTGGGAAATGATGTTGCACAAAATAAGAATTTTTTATTTCCCCACAGGAGCAATATTGAAATTTTCCTCTGGTCTAGGTGAATCACTAACTACACCTGCACTTACAAGTCTTCCATGTATAGTATGCACGCCCTATTCTGTAATATGAAACTCTGGCCTCTTCATCAACCATTCGCTAAATCAAGTGAACGAATTCAAAGCTGTTTGTAACAAAAATGCTAACTTTGTTGGCAGGCAAAATTACATGGACATGAGAAAGTATTTTGTGATCTCGTCTAGGTGGGAAGAAGGTCTTATGATATTTTAATTTGAACACTCACACTCCCCCCAACCCAATCTGCAATACCTATACTTTTCTTCTTAGCGTTTATCAACATAAACATAAATATCTTACCTTTTTATTTGTTTTCTCTTTTTCCTACTAAAGTATAAGCTTAATTTGGTCAGAGATTTTTACCTGTATTTTTTTTGTCTACTATTATCTGCCACTTAAAAAAAGTATGTCTGGTACATATTAAGTGCTCAGTATATATATATGTTTAAATAAATAAGGTGAATACATCAATAAATGTATGAAAATTGTCTAAGTCCATTTGGGATTATTATATTAATAATATTAAAAAATTTTAAGCAGATCAAAGCATCTCTCCAAGTTTCATTTTATTATCTAATAAGATTCATAAGACCTTTTTGTTTACATTTTTCTTCAGCAAAATTTAATATCTAGTAAATGACAGAAACTATTACACCAGGTCATTGTTATGTTACCTTCTTATAGATTCAACAATTTGTAATGTTTTTTTCTTTATATTGTAGTGCTTTTCTTATTTTATCTATTATTTTTTTTAGACAGGATCTCACTCAGACCCCAGGTTGGAGTGTAGTGCTGTGACCACGGCTCACTGCAGCTTTGACCTCTCAGGCTCAAGTGATACTCCCACTTCAGCCTCTCGAGTTGCTGGGACTATAGGCATGCAACTTCATGCCCAGCTAATTGTTGTATTTTTTGTAGAGATGGGGTTATACTATGTTGCCCAGGCTGGTCTTGAACTCCTGGGCTCAAGCGACCTGCCCGCCGTGGACTCCCAAAGTGCTGGGATTATAGGCATAGGTCACCACACTGGCGCAATTTTTATAGGACTTCTCAAATTCTGTTGTTAATCCGATAAGGTATACATTATAAGTAAATTTCATTTATGTCTATACCATAAAAAATCTGTTTCTGAAAGCTCTGAAATTGTTGACAGTATATATAAATATACACTTATTCTACCAATATCCTTCAGAAAACAAAATAAGTTTGAAGGAAAAATACTTTTTGTCCCCTAAATCAGTGAACAACAGCTGTGACTTTTGAATAATTATACTCACAACAATGTTGCATACAGTTGAGCTAAATCAAAGTGATAGGGGTTTTCTTTTAGGATACGTGCTGTTACTACCTTGGTAAGAGTAGTGCAACATTTTCTCCTATTAATAAAGAGATAATCAATGGCAGTTAGCACAGAGGAATAAATAAATACAGACAAAAATTGAAGTTTAACTTATAGGAAGCTTCGCCTTCTATCTAGTGAGTTCAAATAAAAAATAGCCAGCATAAAAATACATTATTAAATAGTATTACTTCATCACCAATGACTCACATGGATCAAACATATTAATTTTCCCACAATATTAACTAAATTAATCTGTGCACAGCTCATGAAATGAAACAAAAACTCTGACATTGTCTATGAATATATATTTTGTCATCTAGAGTAGATATTAACATCCTAGTTGGTATTTTGGAGTGCAAATATAAACATAAAATATTATTGGAATTTAAAATGCAATTGAAAGTACAAAACAATTTTAAAAATTGGTAGGTGGTCTACAAAATTTCATTTATTTGTGTACCAAAAGAGTCTTTGTCAATTAGTCTTTGGAACATATAATACTTTTCCCCTTAAGAACATTGCAGGTATTATTTAAGAATTTTCAAGTTATGATGGCAGATAATGACTATTAATTTGTTCTGCAACCATTGCAATACACATTACATTCTCGAAAAAGTTTCAAACTTTCAACAACATTGGAAACTAAAAATCTTTAATCTGCAGAATTTGAGGAAGAATTTCTATTTACTAAAGCATAAATGAGGCTATGAGGCAGAATGCAGTGTGGACAACAGAGATATGGAGGGAAAAAGGAAAGGGACCTTAAGGATTTCTGTTCATCTATCTGTTAAATTTTTTCACTGTCTTCCTGAAAAATAAGAGAGGACTGTATTACCTGTCCTCCCTAATCTGTCTCATTAATGCCTCTCATTTTACAATCAATCCCATTCCTAGTTGAGAGAGTTGTGGTAACGATGTTCTTTGGAGAATGTAGTTTTTTATTTGCTATCTCTGCTAATGAAGGACTTAAATAATTCTTAACACTATCCAAAAACAGATCTCCCCATGGGCATACAATTGGGCAGTGAAATAAATATGACTTCCTCAAACCAGAAATCTTACACAAAACAGATATAATTACAAAACAATAACAATAAAAACTATTTTGCATCAGATACAGGACAGGCTAACCACTTATCTCCTTGTTTTGCAAATTAAGAAAATTATTCTAATGGCTGTTGCATGACTATTAAGGGAAATAAAATTTCACAGATTTAGACCTGATACTGACATAACACTAGACAAAATTTTCTATTTTTAATTTCATGGATGTAGCAAGTTGCAAAAACAACAGTAACAAAACAAAACCAAAACCCAGCTTTTTTTTAGAAAGATGGACCACATGAACTGAAATCAGTTTTGGAAAGCTGATACTCTATTATCGTCTCAGTAAGAGAGTTGAAAGTGATGATGAAAACGTGAGACACTATGATGAACGCTGAGTTGACTTAAAGTCAGAAAAAAATGTATAGAGAGTGCAGTGAGACAAGGAAACATGACAATAGATTTAATATTGCAGGCTGAAATACAGTCTTACAAACAGTGAAGCATAGTAACGGTATTACAGAAACTGAATTCGTGATATAGAGGACAAACCCAGGACATTTTCCCTGATATAGAATAACAAGAAAAGAAGAAGACAGTTATAAACCACAAGAAAAGACATGTGGAAAATAGATTGAGAAAATTTATGTTCCTAAGAAAGAGATCAAAATCAATAAATAACAAAGGGAAATCAATTAAAAATATAATTTAGGAAAACATTATACAACTGAAAAAAAGTTTGACTTATAAAACTGAAAGCGTTTATCAAGACAAATACCTCTAATTCTGTGAAGAATGATGGTGGTATTTTGTTGGGGTTTGCATTGAATTTGTAGATTGCTTTTGGCAGTATTGGTCATTTTCACAATATTGATTCTACCCATCCATGAACATGGGATGTGTTTCCATTTGTTTGTGTTGTCTATGATTTCTTTCAGCAGTGTTTTGTAGTTTTCCTTGTAGAGGTCTTTTGACTCCTTTGTTAGGTATATTCCTAAGTATTTTATTTCTTTTGTAGCTATTTAAAAGGGGTCGAGTTCTTGATTTGATTCTCTGCTTGGTCACTGTTGGTGTATAGAAGAGCTACTGATTTGTGTACATTAATCTTGTATCCAGAAACTTTGCTGAATTCTTTTATCAGCTCTAGGAGCTTTCTGGAGGAGTCCTTAAGGTTTTCAAGGTAAATGATCATATCGTCAGCAATCGGTGACAGTTTGACTTCCTCTTTACTGATTTGGATGCCCTTTATTTCTTTCTCTTGTCTGATGGCTCTGGCTAAGACTTCCAGTACTAGGCTGAAGAGGAGTAGTGAGGGTGGGCATCCTTGTCTTGTTCCAGTTCTGAAAGGGAATGCTTTCAACTTTTCCCCATTCAGTATTATGTTGGCTGTGGGTTTCTCATAGATGGCTTTTATTACATTAAGGTATGTCCCTTGTATGTGGATTTTGCTAAGAGTTTTAATCATGAAGGGATGCTGGATTTTGTCAGATGCTTTTTCTGCATCTATTGAGATGATCACGTGATTTTTGTTTTTAATTCTGTTTTTGTGGTATATCACATTTATTGACAATTCTAAAATTCATATGGAACCAAAAAAGAGCCCACATAGCCAAAGCAAGACTAAGCAAAATAACAAATCTGGAGGCATCACACTACCTGATTTCAAACTATACTATAAGGCCATAGTCATTGAAGCAGCATGGTACTGGTATAAAAATAGACACATAGACCAATGGAACAGAATAGAGAACCCAGAAATAAACCCAAATACTTACAGCCAACTGATCTTTGACAGAGCAAACAAAAACATCAAGTAGGGAAAAGACACCCTTTTCAACAAATGGTGCTGGTATAATTGGCTAGCCACATGTCAGAGAATAAAACTGGATCCTCGTCTCTCATCTTATACAAAAGTCAACTCAAGATAGATTAAAGACTTAAACCTAAGTCCTGAAACCATAAAAATTCTACAAGATAACATCAGACAAACCCTTCTAGACATTGGCTTAGGCAAGGATTTCACGACCATGAACCCGAAAGCAAATGCAACAAAAATGAAGATAAATAGCTGGGACCTAATGAAACTAAAGAGCTTTTGCAGGGCAAAAGGAACAGTCAGCAGAGTAAACAGACAACACACAGAGTGGGAGAAAATCTTCACAATCTATACATTTGACAAAGGACTAATATCCAGAATCTACAATGAATTCAAACAAATCAGTAAGAAAAAAACAAATAATCACATCAAAAAGTGGGCTGAGGACATGAATAGACAATTCTCAAAAAAAGATATACAAATAGCTAACAAACATATGAAAAAATGCTCAACATCACTAATGATCAGGGAAATGCAAATCAAATCACAATGCGATACCACCCTACTCCTGCAAGAATGTACATAATCAAAAAACAGTAGATGTTGGCATGGGTGCGGTGAACAGGGAACGCTTCTACACTGCTGGTGAAAATGTAAACTAGTACAGTCTCTATGGAAAACAGTGTGGAGATTCCTTAAAGAACTAAAAGTAGAACTACCTTTTGATCCAGCAATCCCATTACTGGGTATCTACCCAGAGGAAAAGAAGTCATTATTAGAAAAAGATACTTGCACATGCATGTTTATAGCAGCACAATTCACACCCGCAAAATCGTGGAACCAACCCAAATGCCCGTACGCCCATCAATCAACGAGTGGATAAAGAAGCTGTATATATATATATGTGTGTGTGTGTGTGTGTGTGTGTGTGTATACATATATATGTATATATATGTATATACACACAAATATATATGATGGAATAATATGCAGCCATAAAAATGAATGAATTAACAGTGTTTGCAGTGATCTGAATGACATTGGAGACTATTATTCTAAGTGATGTAACTCAGGAATGGAAAACCAAACATCATATGTTCTCACTGATATGTGGGAACTAAGCTATGAGGACACAATGGCATAAGAATGATACCATGGACTTTGGGGACTTGAGTGGAAGAATGGAAGGGGGGCGAGGGATAAATACTACAAATATGGTGCATCCACCCAGCATGGGTGATGGGTGCACCAAAATCTCACAAATCATCATTAAAGAACTTACTCATGTAACCAAATACCACATGTACCCCAATAACTTATGGAAAAATAAAATTAAAAAAAGACAAATACCTCATCTTATCCCAGTGAGTTTGTAAAACATTTCGAGAAAAAAATAATAATTCTATAATCAAAAGGGGAGGAAGACAACCCTTTTACTCCAAAGAGTAAAAATGACTTTTGAAACCTCTGCATAATAAGTGCAGGAGAAAGTAAAATAAAATCCAATATATTTCTACAGAGAAAGGAATTAATACATACATATATATATGCATACATATATTGTATGTATGTATATAAATATATATGTATGGCATATAAATATACATGTATGGCATATAAATATATATATTTATGCCAGATGTCTGTACACACACACACGTGTGCACACACATACACACGCACACATATATATATGTCAGGTAGTTTGTTAATCATGTGGATAGGGCAGAGAAAGTGAACTGCTCATGCTATCTCATCTATCTCATATGAAACACTTGAAGATACATTCTAGCCAGCATGAATATAAGTTATTTATCAAATATTCATCAAATATTTAATAATAATTATCTGTACTACCATTATTAGGTGCAGACACTGTGCTAAGAACTTGGGATAAAATAGTAGACCAAATTTCACGTATTGCTCCTTGTTATACTTAGGAAGTGCTACAGTATGTATAACTGGGAGATATGAGCCACCAAGGCAGCCAAAAAGGATCCCTTAGAAATTTTAGTTGAATTGAGATCTAAAAATTAGCATGAAAAATTAGGGTCAGTGGGTCGAAGGGAAAAGTATATTCAAAGATCCTGGGAAGGGAGTAACCATGACATGGTTAGAGACCCAAAAGAAGTCACTGTGACTATAGAGGAGAAAAGGGAGTCATGGGGTACACACGAGGTATGGGAAGTGGTAGGAGACAGACCATGCATGGCCTTATAGGCCTTATTAATATTTTCGGTCTTTATCTGCAAAACACAGGAAACCATTGATTAAGGTGTGTGTGTGTGTGTGTGTCCTAGTGACATGTTCGGATTCACATTTTTTAAAGTTCACAGTGTTTGAAGGTATAAGGAATATATTTTAAAAGAACAATTAAAATATACTAAAATCATTAAAGGTGCTATTTTATTTGTGCATCTCCAGAGATGATGAATTAGATCGACAGTGATGACAAGGAAATAGTGGACAGTTTAAAGATATCCTGGACTAATTCAAAATAGCCACAAGAAGAATAAAATATCTAGGAATACAGCTAACAAGGGAGGTGAAAGATCTCTACTAGAATTACAAAACACTGCTAAAAATAATTAAAGTCAATGCAAACAAATGGAAAAACATTCTTTTGCTCATATATAGGAAGAATCAATGTCGTTAAAAGGGCCATACTGACCAAAGTAATTTACAGATTCAATGCTATTTCTATCAAATGACCAATAACATTTTTCACAGAATTAGAAAAAAAAATTCTAAAATTCATATGGAAACAGAAAAGAGCATTGCCAAAGCAATTATAAGCAAAAAGAAAAAAGCCCGAGGAATCACACTACCTTGAGTTCAAACTGTATTACAAAGCTACAGTAACCAAAACAGCATGGTACTGGTACAAAAACAGACACATAGACCAACTGAACAGGTTATAGAACCCAGAAATAAAGCTGCAAACTTACAACTAATCTGATCACTGACAAAGTCTACAGTAACGAGCAATGGGGAAAGGACTTCCTATTCAATAAATGATGTTGGGATATCTGGCTAGCCATACACAGAAGATTGAAACTGGACCCCTTCCTTTCACTATATACAAAAATCAACTCAAATTGGATTAAAGACAAAAATGTGAAATCTGAAACTATTAAAACCCTAGAAGAAAATCTAGGACATACCATTCTGGGCATAGGCTTTGGCTTGGCAAAGATTTCATGACAAAGTCTGCAAAAGCACTTGCAACAGAAAAGGAAACAGACAAGTGGGACCTCATTAAACCAAAGAACTTCTGCACAGCAAAAGAAACTATCAACAAAGTAAACAAACAGCGTAAGAAAACATTTGCAAGCTATGCATCTGACAAGGGTTTAATATCCAGAAACTATAGAGAACTTAAACAATTCAGCAATCAAAAACAACCCCATTAAAAAATGAGCAAAGGATGTGAACAAACACTTCTTAAAGGAAGATACACATGTGGTCAACAAGCATATGAAAAAATGCTCATCATCACTAATCACCAGATAAATGCAAATCAAAACCACAGTGAGATCTTGTCTCATACCAGTCAGAATGGCTATTATTAAAAAGCCAGAAAGTAACATATGTTGGTAAGGTTGCAGAAAAAAGGGAATGCTTATACACTGCTGGTGGAAATGTAAATTAGTTCAGCCCCTGTGGAAAGCAGTTTGGAGATTTCTCAAAAAACTTGCAACAGAACTACCATTTGACCCAGCAATCCCGTTCCTGAGTACATACCAAAAGGAATATAATAATTCTACCAAAAAGACACAAGCACGTGTATGTTCATCACAGCACTATTCACAATAGCAAAGATATAGATTCAATCGAGATGCCCATCAACGGTGGACTGGACAAAGAAAATGTGGTACAAATACACCATGGAATACTATACAGTCATAAAAAGGAATGAAATCGTGTCCTTGGCAGCAACATGGATAGAGTTGGAGGCCATTATCCTAAGCAAATTAGCACAGGAACAGAAAACCAAATACCACAATGTCACTTCAAAGCGGCAGCTAAACGCCGAGTACACATGGACACAAAGAGGGGAAGAATAGACACCAGAGCCTACCTGAGGGTGAAGACTGGGAAGAGACTGAGGCTAAAAAACCTACCTATTGGGAACTATGCTCATTACCTTTGTGACCAGATCATTTGTACACCAAGCCCATGCAACACGCAATTTTTTCATGTAACAAATCTGCATATGTACACCCTGAACCTAAAATAAAAATTCAAAAAGGAAAAAAAAAGATATACTGGACTAAAAACTTTTTGGTTTTTGGTGTGTGCAATTTATTGGACATTGATGCTTTTCACTAAGAAAATATCTTAGAAGAGGTGGGTTCAGTGTTGGAGAGAAAGTTACATGTACAGTGTGGGGGATTGCTAAATGTGAGTTTCCTTTGAGACATTTAAATGACAATTTCAGTAAGGTGATTGGGTCTGGATTTCTCAGAAGGGTTCTTTGACAGATATACAAGTCTTCGAGTCATCATATATAGGATTTATTAAAAACTTCGGAAATGATTAAGACAGAGGAAACAACTCACAAATGTATAAGCCTGGAAAATAGTAACTGGGATTAAATCTATAATCTATAATTCCTAAATCTATAGGAAACATAGATACATTACTGTTTATAATGTATATTACTACGAACTTTCCAAATAACAATTTGGCAAATTATATTGAATATTTAGCATGTTTATACACTTCTGACTGAGCATTTTCACTTTTAGGAAGTTATTTCAATAGAACGGAAATATTCTGTCTCCACAAGCAGACATGGAAAGTTTACAGTGATAGTTATCTTGGTATTTAGGTTGGAAACAAGCCAAGTGTTAAGACCAGTAAAATTTGCAGGTTCTGGATACCAACCAATTGCTAATCAAATAGGGCATGGGATATACATATAGTTGTACCCTTTAAGGTAATTCAAATTGGAGGTCCCGGTCCCATTATTTTAATAATAAAGTTTACACTGTTATGTCAAACTTAAGCCTTTCACTTAAGTTTTATTATCCTGTACCCTGGTCAGCGTTTCTCTCTCTCTCTCTCTCTTTTTTTTTTTTTTTTTTTTTTTGGCAGAGTTTTGCTCTTGTTGCCCAGGCTGGAGTGCAATGGCACTATCTCGGCTCACCACAACCTCTGCCTCCTAGGTTCAAGCGATTCTCCTGCCTCAGCCTCCCGAGTACCTGGGATTACAGGCATGCGCCATTACGCCCGGCTAATTTTGTATTTTTTTAGTAGAGACAGGGTTTCTCCATGTTGGTCAGGCTGGTCTTGAACTCCCGACCTCAGGTGATCCGCCCGCCTTGGCCTCCCAAAGTGCTGGGATTACAGGCATGAGCCACCAAGCCTTTCACTCTCCTTGTCAAGTGCTCTATATCCTGCTGCCAATTAAATATTGCATATTGATTTGTTCTGTTATTATTATTGGAAACAAGTAAGTCTTATCGTTATTTAATTTTATTTAGTGTTATCA
This sequence comes from Homo sapiens, assembly GCF_000001405.40. NCBI lineage: Eukaryota > Metazoa > Chordata > Mammalia > Primates > Hominidae > Homo > Homo sapiens. The sequence continues at coordinate 34,502,637 of NC_000023.11, read as the reverse complement.
TTCAGACATTTCATATCCTGGACAATGAGAAACATGATATTTTGTTCTTTCTTCATCCTGCTAAACCATTTAAAATTTCTTTCTTCCTAAATACGATGAAAGACCACGAATAACAATCAATTTATTGCTGTAGGGTCTTACTATTCTTAAACAAGTTGACTTAAGACCTATATAAGTTTATTCTTCATAGATAGATAATTAACAGAAAAAAAATTCTATATGTTATACCCGTTATCTTTAAAATTAACTAGTAAATTAAATATAATTATGATATCACTTTTCATTTGTATTACAACTTTCTTTTTCAACATTATAGTAAATTTTCTTTTTATGATTGTAATTAGAGTCACGCTTTTATTCACAGACTCAACTTGTTACAAATTACAGTAGTATTTTCTGTGTTACACATATATTGTCAGAATTTAGACATTGAGAATCATTTTTTAACTGAGCTCAATTGTTCTGATAGCACTATTCAAGATATCTTTGAAATCCTCCTCACTTTTGGGTAGCTATAACATGTTCCACATCATAGGATCAGCTATTACCCAAGATGGATATCACAGAGGAAGAGAAAAGTTATTAGTAATTAAATTCTGGGCATTGGAGGCTGCCATATGAGTAACTCTGGTAGTAGGATGGAATTGATGCTGGGCCAAATTAGTGCTAGAACTAGAAGGGATACTGCTTTTAAAAAGAGTATGACGCCTGTAATCCCAGCACTTTGGGAGGCCGAGGCGGGCGGATCATGAGGTCAGGAGATCAAGACAATCCTGGCTAACATGGTGAAACCCCGTCTCTACTAAAAATACAAAAAAAAAAAAAAAATTAGCTGGGCGTGGTGGCGGGCGCCTGTAGTCCCAGCTACTCGGGAGGCTGAGGCAGGAGAATAGCGTGAACCCGGGAGGCGGAGCTTGCATTGAGCAGAGATCGCGCCACTGCACTTCAGCCTGGGCAACAGAGCGAGACTCTGTCTCAAAAAAAAAAAAAAAAGTATGAATTTACACTTTCCAGTTTGCTGTTATTAAATCTTTAATTTTATTTTGATATGACATTCATTTTATCAGTCACATGCAAACTTAGATTATTAATCCTTCCCCAAAGTTTTAAATATGCCCCCATTTCATTTATAATCCTTCTGTCTCGTTGACTTCCATTTTAGAGTCACTTTAGTGTTTCACCATTTGTTATAGTAGAAGAAAGAAATATCATCCAATCTGTACGTGTTTCTCTGTCATCTTATTGATTGCTAGTTAAATGAAACATGTAGAAATAAAAAGTCCGTTTTATTTTCACATTGTGGAAGTGAAGTAAGTTATAGTTAACCAGAGATTGAAGTAATTATTTTTAAGGTAAAATGTCAAAATGTACTGTTATAATTAAGTTTTGTGACATAATATAAATGCATTCTTTAAGTTAAGGAAAAAATAAACTCATTCTAAGGACAAATTGTTAGCAAATATAATAACTCGTGACATCATTAGTGTGGTGTTATGAAGCACCTTCATTTGTTAATTTGGAAGTCTCAATGACCATTGTGCATATGTGAAATGCAAATACATAATTAATTTTTAATCATTCATTTAAAATATTTATTGGCTATGTACTCCATGTCAAGTGTTCTTTAAGGTCTAGGGAAACAATAATAAACAAGACAGTTACATTGCACACTGCCTCAAAGTTAATGAACAATTGAAGAAACCATTCAATTAAATAAGTGGTTATAATGTAACTTGATGAATGTTATGATAGGAGAAACTAGAATTTTATGGGATCCTATGGCAATGGAACAAAATCTTCCTTAATGATGGCTTTTTTGAGAATGTCATGTTTAGGTTCAGAACTAGAGAATAAATAGAATATAGCCAGACAGAAAGTGGAGTTTGCTTAGTGGAAGAGAGTGCCTTGAGGATGGCCATGTAGTCATGGGGCCAAAGAGTGAATGACATCTATTTTTAGGAGTTAGACTTTACCCCAAGGGCAAAAGTAAGTCATTGAAAAGACTTAGGTAGTAAATAATCAGATTTGCACTTTTAGGAATATTATTTAAACTGGAATTTGGAATTGTAGTGGGGCAGGGTTAGAAGAAACAGAGCAATCAGAAGGCTATTTTAGAAGTGCGGTAATGGAGGCTAAAACCCTAGAACAATGTAGGGCAAGTGGTGACAGAGAGAAGGATAGAAAATAATTCATATTCAATCCATCAGAAAATCTGTTGTATTTTTTACTGACATGTAATAATTGTACATATTTGTGAGGTACAATGTGATGTTTTGATACATCTATACATTGCATAATGATCAAATCAGAATAATTGACATATCCATCACCTAAAACATTTATCATTTTTTTGTGATGAAAACACTTAAGATCCTCTCTTCTAGCTATTTGAAATATACAATGCATTGTTGTTAGCTATAGTCACTCTACTGTGCAATGGAGTGTCAGAACTTATTCCTCTTATATAGGTGTAACATTGTACCTGTTGACCAATGTTTCCTCCTCCGCTCTTCCCCATATCCTCCCCGGTCTTTGGTAACCACTGTTCTACTTTCTACTTCTCTGAGATCAATTTTTTAGATTCCACATATGAGTGAGATCATGTGGTATTTAACATAAAAATGTTTCCAGAATCTGAACACTTTTCACCATCTTCCCTTCCACAATCTTGGTATAAGCCACCAACATGCCTCATCTCAATTATTGCAATAATCGCTTAACTAGAGTTGCTAGATTAGATTTAGCAAATACAAATTTTACCTTGCAATCCTGCTCTTGATTGCGCTTCTACCTTCTGCCTCTTCTCCCATGTCAGTCTCTTCTCAACATAGCAGTCAGTGTACTGTTATAAAAATGCAACTCAGTCATGCCAAACTGGTCACTATGTGGAGGTTTTCTTTTTGTACACTGTGGGTTTTTTTTTTTTTGCTAATATGTTGTCTAGGATCTTTGAGTTTATGTTAATAAGTGTTTTGGCCTCCAATTTGTCTTTCTTATTCTGCCATAATCAGTTTTCGCTATTGAGTGTATATTGTCATCATTGAATTAGTTGTGGAGTATTCTATTCCTTTTTTTCTATTCTCTTGAAATACGTTTACAAAATTTGATTTATCTTTTCTTTGCAATTTGGTAAAATTTGCCTGAAAACCACTGAGGCTTTTGTTTGTGGTCATTTTAAATTTTAAAATACTGATCCAATTTATTTGTTATTACAATATTGTTGAGTTAAATTTCATGTTACTCTTTTCTAGCAAATTGGCGACTTCGTGTACATTCTCACGTTTATTGTGGGTAAAATTCATCTTTTTTTTTTCTTTTTTGTAATCCGCACTTTATATCTACTTTTGCCTTTTTCCTTTTTCTGCCTCGGCTGTTTATGTATGTTGTTGTGCTTCTTGATTAATTTTGCCAGCATCTGTGCATTTTTATTTATCTTGTTAAAAATAACTAATTTGTGTCTTGTTGGTTATCTTCATTGTGTATTTGTTCAGAATTTGATGAATTTTTGATCTTATCTTTATCATCTTTTAACTTCTATAATTGTTTATTTATTCTATTGTTCATATACCATTCTGTCTCATTTGTGTCTTTAAAATTCCCATGCAACATTTTTTCTTCTTTTTCTTTAAAGTTTCTTGTAACTGTGAGTTAGATCTAGATGTTCAACTGTTTTATTTTATTTTATTTTACCTTATTTTATTTTAGCAAGAATATTTCCCAAGTGGTGCTGTGCAGCACTTGATTTTTGATTATTTTGATTATTGACTATTTTACAAATTTATATTTTATTGACTACTTTATGAATTTGTATGAATTTTTTTAATAATAAGCTGATATGTTGAGTAAAATCTCAACAGATAAACAATGGATTAAGTATATTTATGAATTTATCTTTTTTTTTTTTTTTTTTTTGGAAATGGACTCTTGCTCTGTTGCCCAAGCTGGAGTGTAGTGGCACAATCTCGGCTTACTGCAACCTCCGCCTCCCGGGTTCAAGCGATTCTTCTGCCTCAGCCTCCTGAGTAGCTGGAACTACAGGCGCGTGCCACCATGCCTGGCTAATTTTTGTATTTTCAGTAGAGACAGGGTTTTACCATATTGGCCAGGCTGGTCTCAAACTCCTGACCTCATGATCTGCCTGCCTTGGCCTCCCAAAGTGCTGGGATTACGGGCGTGAGCCACCGCGCCTGGCTAAATTTATCAGTTTTATAGACTCAATATATTTCAGTTGCCATTCTTCTTTTGATGCTCAATTTTTTTTAATCTTTGCTTAGAGTCCCTTCTAGTTGCCTTCCGTGTCCTTTTATATTCTGTGATCTAAAGTTTCAAATATGAAAATCTTGCTTTCCAATATTGGTATAATTACTCATAAGTTGAAATCTCCTTTGTATGTAGTGGAGTGTGTATATTTATAATAGTTTCAAAGTTATACCAACATTAAACTTAATAGTAATATCACTAGATACAACTTAAGATTTAGTGGTCATTATGTTTGGTCCCAGATAGGTATATAAAGTCAAAATAATATTTTTAATTGAGATAAATATCCTTGGCATTATGCCACCAATTTGATAAAAGAAAACTTGGTGAGCTTCACTTTGCATTTTATTTTAGGGATTGCTTCACTTTTTAAAATTTTGTGTTTGGTGTTGTCTTTCAAATATATAATACGCAAACAAGGTTCTAAGGTCAAAATTATAAAATAAGACACATTAGAACATAACTAACTTTTATTTTTGTTCTTCCCAGTATTTTCATTGTCTCTTCCTTTCATCTAAAGGACTACAATATGATCCAGCAATCTCACTGCTAGATATATATCGAAAAGAAAAGAAATCAGCATATGGAAGAGATATCTGCACTCCCATGTTTATTGCAGCACTATTCACAATAAAGGTTACTATTTATTTTAATTAATTTTTGGTTTATCCTCCACTGTTCTTTTTGAAAATATCAGATATGTGTGCATATGTATGAGTGTGTGTATGTGTAAAGTTCCCACACCTTTGTTCCCCAAAAGGTACCCAAAGAGTTTAACACATTTCATTTGTCCTTGTTTCTTTTTACAACTGTTTTGCTTTTGTAAATAGTAGACAAATAAATAGCCTGGTGTATAAGTCATTTCATATTTCAATGCATGTATCTTTGGGATAGGTTCCTAGACGTGGGATTGCTGGGTCAAAGGTTACAGGCATATGTAATTTTGCAAATTAATAATTTGCTATTACCAAATTCATTGAGATGGTATGATTTTGTATTTCCTCTAGCAATGTATGAAGTTGACTGTTTCCTTACACCCTTAACAACAGAGTATGTTGTCAAAATGTTCTGTTTTGCCAAGTTTAGAAATGATACCTCAGTTTAGTATCAATTTGTATTTCTCTTATTATATATAATATGAGATTAAAAACTACCTTGTATAATTAAGTGCGACTGTTGGTACTTTTTTTAAAATTTTATTTATTTATTTATTATTATTATACTTTAAGTTTTAGGGTACATGTGCACAATGTGCAGGTTAGTTACCTATGTATACATGTGCCATGCTGGTGTGCTGCACCCACTAACTCATCATCTAGCATTAGGTATATCTCCCAATGCTATCCCTCCCCCTCCCCCCACCCCACAACAGTCCCCAGAGTGTGATGTTCCCCTTCCTGTGTCCATGTGTTCTCATTGTTCAATTCCCACCTATGAGTGAGAACATGCAGTGTTTGGTTTTTTGTTCTTGCGATAGTTTACTGAGAATGATGATTTCCAATTTCATCCATGTCCCTACAAAGGACAATAGTTTTCTGTATCATCACCCATTTTTTTCCCGTACAGTTTTTGGGTTTTTTATTTTTATTTTTTAAAAAGTTCCTTATATTATAGAAATATTTGCCTTCATGTTTTATCTAACTTTGTCATTTGTCCTCCCTCCCCTTCTTCCCTCCTTCCTTCCCCACTTTTATTCACTTATATCATCCACAGTTTTAACGTAATAAAATTTATTAATAATTTCCATTATTCCTTCTAAATTTTGAATTATAGTAAGGAATGTTTTACCCATTTCTACATAATAAAGGAATTCGCTTATATTTTGTATTACTACTGGCATAATTTAATTTTATTATTTAAGCTTTTACTATTTAAAAAATGTCTTCTGGTGTACAATGCATGTCATCTTTTGATATGTAGCATTTTATTATAAGGTCATCTAAGTATTTTAAACAATCTCTATTATGATTCATTTTTTGATCAATGAGTTATTTTTAAATGGTCCATATGAAACTGTCTTTGAAATTTTGTAATACTTATGTATGAATTATGTGGCCAGCTTTTTTTTTTATATATATACTTTAAGTTTTAGGATACATGTGCACAACATGCAGGTTTGTTACATATGTATACGTGTGCCATGTTGGTGTGCTGCACCCATTAACTCGTCATCTACATTAGGTATATCCCCTAATGCTATCCCTCCCCCCTCCCCCCTCCCCTCACCCCACAACAGTCCCCTGTGTGTGATGTTCCCCTTCCTGTGTCCATGTGTTCTCATTGTTCAATTCCCACCTATGAGTGAGAACATGCGGTGTTTGATTTTTTGTCGTTGCGATAGTTTGCTGAGAATGGTGTTTTGTAAATGTCCAGTATATACTTAAGAATAATGTATATTCTCCAATTATTGCTGCAAAGTTCTGCATATTGCCATTATGTAAAGCTTGTTTATGTTTTGTTGTTTAAATTTCTGTATTTTACTGTCTTTTTTGTATGTGCAACTTGTCAGAAATTGTTATATTGAAATCTACTATGTCAATGGATTTCTCTACTTCAAGTTGAGTTCTGGCAATTTTACTTCAAATAATGTAAGGGTATTTTACCAGGTACAGGAATTAGCATTTTAATATCTTCTGAGAGAGCTTATATTGTTTCATATAGAAATATATTATATACACTTAATATATACTAAATTTTTCCTGCTTACTTCTGTATTTTCCCGATATTAGTATAAATAACCCAAATGTAATTTCATTTGGGATTTATTTCTTAGTTATTTTAATTTCAATCTTTACTAGACCTTGGATTTTAAGTGAGCTCTTTTGAAAAACCTAAGACTGAAACATGATATTTACATATAATTGGAAAATGTGTGTCTTAATTGATAATCTTAGTTTATGTATTATTGAGTGTTAAGTGTTTACTTTTCCCAGATTGGTCCCCAGAAAAAAAAGAGTTGAGTTCATACACCCCTGTAAAACTCCATGGAAATGAGTTATGGCCTGCTGACTAAGAAAATCACTCCTGGCCCATATTAAAGTTTGGATCCCAGCCCCTCATTATATGAAGAAAACATGTCAAATATTGCTGCTGTGTTGATATGTATCTCTGCAATCACATGGCTTGAACTGGAAGGGGTGGAAAATGGATACCACCTACCATGAATGCTGAGATTGCAGGGCCGGGCTGAATTCAAGGTTCTGCAATTATAGTCTGGCTCCTCATCAAGCCATGGGAAGGGAATGATGTTCCTCATGGATTCACAATACTTAAAAGCTCCACAGCTCCTGTGTGAGAACCTTCTTCCAGACTCTGAGGCCTACTGTGAAATAACTCTTCTTGGGCCTAGAATTCAATGAGCAACAGAAGATATGCACACCTGTTACTGTTCCTATTTCTATGGGTTTTCTCTGATAAACATGACTCTAGCTTGTCTGGTGTGCATGCTTCTAGCCACATACATTTTATACATGACAACAGGTATAATAAATGTTGATAATGCTTGGATTTATTTCTATGAATTTACTTTTCCCTTTATATTTGTTTTGTTTTCTCGAAGCTTCTTCTTTTTACCTTTCTTGCTTTTTTTTTTTTTTTGGTTTATTTGTTTTTGCGGATTGATTTGTTTGTTCACTTTAATATATCACTTTTCATTCTACTGGTTTTGAAAATATACAGAGATTTTCTTTTACTAGTTATACTAGATATTTCATCCTGTATATTTAATTAATTAACATAGTCTAAAATTAGTAATTCAAATACTTGCTGAATAATGTGAAGACACTAACACTCTTTAATTTTTGTCATCAAGGTTTTGACATGTTGTTATATGTTATATTGTGTTGAGTATGTTGTATCAGCCCTTTTTTAAGCTCCACATTTTAGACTCATTATTGTTGCTGTTGTTGTTACTATTATTATTTTACACAAAAAAATCTGTTAGAAATGTGTACATTTATATCTCTTTTTCCTTCACTCTTAAGGATTATCCTTAGCAAGTACATGTTTTAGACGTCCCTTAACTGTAGGCTTAATTATGATAAAACTCTCAGTTTTTGTGTACCTTAAAATTATTTTTTGGTCGGGCACGGTGGCTCACGCCTGTAATCCCAGCACTTTGGGAGGCCGAGGCGGGCAGATCACCTAAGGCCAGGAGTTCCAGACCAGCCTGGTCAACATGGTGAAACCCTGCCTCTACTAAAAATAAAAAAAAAAAAAAACTGGGCCTGGTGGGATGTAGTCCCAGCTACTCAGGAGGCTGAGGCAGGAGAATTGCTTGAACCTGGGAGGCGGAGGTCGCGGTGAGCCGAGATCTCACCGCCGGCACTCCAGCCTGGGCGACAAGAGCTGGACTCTGTCTCAAAAAAAAAAAAAAGTTTTTTTTTTTTGTTTTTGTATTTTTGTTTCTCCCTCTCCTTGTTGAAAAACAGACTTTCCGGGCAAACACTAATAGGTTGACAATTGTTTTAGCCTCAAAAATTTGAAAATAATATTCCACTATCTTCTGGCTTCCATGATTATTGTTGAGTTTTCTTGTTTGTTTTGATTTTTCTTGTTTAGTTTTTATGTTAGTTTATTTCTAATTTGTCTCCAGTAATTTATCTTTTTAAAGTGTTTTTTTTAAAGATTTTCCTGGGGTTCTTCAACTTTAATCTTAATGCATCTAGGCATCGATTTCTATTTTTTCTTGACTATGCTATATGCTTTCCAACTACCCATGTATTCTTTATTTCCTTGCAGTTTTATTACTCTTGTAATACTCTCTTCAACTCCATAAGTTTTTAGAATTAGCTCACTCAAAGCTCACCATATTCCACCAGATTTAACAGTACAGTGGCTTTTAATTAGTACATGACCTCCTTTAGCCTACTTTAGCTATTTATACATGGTTTTATTTGTATGTTCTTGAAAACATTTTTCTTTGATGACTGGATGTGGTGGGCAAAATTCTAAAGATGCATCCACACTAAGATCCTTGCCCCCGGTTATCTAATCACACACTAATCTAGGTATTGTTGTTAAGAGATCTTGCAGATATAATGAAAGTCTCAAGTGAGTTAACTTTGAAATATGAAAATTATCCAGGTGGGCCAGACGTAATCAGGTGATCCCTCTAAATACAGAGTTTTCTCCAGCTGGCTTCACAAAGAAAAGTCAGAGAGATGCATCGTGTGAGAAGGAATTGACATGCCCATGCTGGTTTAAAGATGGAGACAGGGAGGCATGTGTGAAGAAATGTGAGCATTCTTGGGTTGTTCACCAATAGCGAGAAAGGAAATTTGGATTTCAATTCTACAGCTGTAGGGATTTGAATTCTGTTAACAAGTTGAATGAACTTATACAGATTTCTCCCCAGCGTCTCCAGATCACAGGCCAGCCTGGCTGATACCCTGATTTTATCCTTGTGAGACATTGTGCCTGTACTTCTGACCTACAGAACTGTGATCTCATAAATGGGTGTTATCTTAAGCTGCTAAATTTTTAGTAATTTTTTACAAAACCATAGAAAATAAACACTCTGGGCCCTCCATACTCGTGGTTCTCCTCTGACCATTATGACAACTTCATTTTCTGGATTATCTTCTGGATTCTCTTCTGCTCACTAAATGCCTTAAATTCTAGAGTTTTCCATAGACCATCAATTGATCACTAGTTTTATAATGTTGTCACCCCAAACAAGACTGTGCAATCTATGCCGACACCTGCCCTTTTTTTTCATTCTTCCTTATTTTATGAAGGTGATCATCTCATTGTGCTTTTTTATTTAAATTTAATTTGCAAATCCTGAGTATTATTTGACAATTTTTTAATTTAAGAAAAAGATAAGGATGAATATAAAGAAAACAACCATATGTAAACAATGTTTTAAATTTGTTAGTAAAATTTCACTTAAAATTTAGTTGAATCCGTAAACATTAACTATGCTAGTCTATTCTGATTTATTGCTTTTCTAATTGCATTCTGTCCCTGTTGTGTATTTGATAACTTGTAGAATTTAAAATATTTTATTTGGACTGTTCATTTATTGTTTCAAGTAGATGAGTCTCCTCTCCCTGAATGTGAAGAATTCACAGATTTTTGAAGGCAGAGATTATATTCTATCATGCTCCCTCAGGAAAGCATAAATCTCAGAACATTAAATATGTTTGATGCAAGTTTTCTGACTGACAGAGAAAATGATAACTAAAAAGGGAGTTTCTGAGTAAAAGGAGAGATAGGGATGTGTTTTCAAGAGTTTCTATTACCATGTTGTCTCAAATTTCTCTCCACCGTCTACAATTTAAGTCAGCAACATCAGTGTCATGGTGCTACGACAGAGAAGAAGGAGGAACATACTCTATTTGTTTTTCTTCCTTACCAAGAAATACATAAATCTATGCCTAGCATCTGCTACATATTTTTACTCTGGCTATCAGCATATATTGTTGGTCTTATTAAGACACAAGGATTTTCAAAGCAGGCCCTTAATTTGTTTTGACAGAGACAGCACAGGGGAGATTTGATAAATGCTAAAAAGTCAACACTTAAAGATGCCTTCTGGGTGTAAGGGCCCCTTGAGTTAATGCAAAAATTAACTCAAGGTGGATTACAGGCTTAAATCTAAAACCAAAAACTAAACACTCTGAAGATAACCTAGGAAATGCCATTCTGGACATAAGACCTGGCAAATACTTCATGGCAAAGATTCCCAAAGCAATCATAACAAAAATCAAAATTGATAAATTGAACCTAATTAAACTAAAAGCTTCTACATAGCAAAATAAACTATAAACAGAGTAAACAGACAACCTACAGAATGGGAGAAAATATTTGCAAGCTATGCTTCAAACGAATGTCTAATATCCAGAATCTATAAAGAACTTGAATAAATTCACAAGCAAAAAACAAACCACCCCATTAAAATGTGGGCAAAAGACATGAATAGACACTTCAAAGGAAAACATTCATGTGCTCAACAAGCACATGAAAAAAATGCACAATATCATTAATCATTAGAGAAATGCAAATCGAAACCACGATGAGATGCCATCTCACACCAGACAGAAGGACCATTATTAAAAAGTCAAAAAATATCAGATGTTGTCAAGGTTGTGGAGAAAGGGGAATGCTTATGTGCTGCTTGTGGGAATGCAAATTAGTTCAGCCACCATGGAAAGCAGTTTTATGGGCAATTTCCCAGCAATTGCATTACTGGGTATATAACCAAAGGAGTACAAATTGTTCTACCATAAAGACACATGCACATGTATGTTCATCACAGCACTATTCACAATAGTGAATTCACAATTCACAAAGGCATGGAATCAACCTAAATGCCCATCAGTGGTCAACTGGATAAAGAAAATATGGTACATATACACCATGGAATACTACAAGCCATAAAAAAGAATAAAATCATATCTTTTGCAGAAACATGGATGTAGCAGAAGGCCATTATCCTAAGCAAACTAACACAGGAACAGAAAAACAAACACTGCACGTCCTCACTTGTAAATGGGAGCTAAACATTGAGGACATATAGACACAAAGAAGGGAACAACAGATAGCAGGGCCTACTAAAGAGTGTAGGGTGAAAGGAGGGTGACAATTGAAAAACTACCTATTGGGTACTATGTTTATTACCTCGGTGATGAAATAATTTGTACACCAAACCCTCAAGACACGCAATTTACCTATATAACAAACCTGCACATAGACCCCTGAAACTAAAATGAAAGGTAAAAAAAAAAAAAAGATGCTTACCAGGCTGGCAGATCATGCCCATTTAATTTACTCTAATGCCTAGCCTAGCCTTGTGCACAGCTGGGATATAACAGACTCTTTCTCATGATAGATAAGATTACCCTAGGGCCATGGGCCAGAGAGACCTAAGGTCTCATCTGGCCATTGAGCTTCTCCTTTGTCCCAAATTTGAATTTATTCATGATTAGTTCTGCTTGCTATTATAACTAGAAGAAATAAGGAGGTCATATGGAAAGCAAAGGAAAACGATGTGATGGATGTAGAAACAGTAGGAAATGATGAATGATGCTATAGGCTCTTTGGGCAAGAGGTTTTAAAGAATGCATGTGAAAGAATCAATTTTCCTGTGCTCTGAATGTATTGTCAAGAAATAAACTACTTAAAATAAACCTTTTAAAAATGTTTTCATTTGTCTTTTCTACATATCTCAACATACCTTCTGCAAAAGCAAAATGCGACAGCCAGATTAAATATTTAAAATATCCCACACATAGAATCGGTGATAAAATGTTATGTGTTATTAATGGCATTTCAGAGCATTTTAATACAAATGAAAACAAATAATAACTACAGAAATGTGTTGGTTACTCATAGTTAAAATTATAACAATAATGCTAACTACTGTTTATTAGGCATTTCCATATGCTAAGCACACTGTTAAGCAGCTTATATAAATGAACTCATTCAGTATTTTTAAAAAGTATGGATAAGCAGGCAAATGACGAAATGGAGGAAAGACTTGTCAAAGATCATACAGCAAATACATGGAAGAAATGGATGTTGTTTACTCAGTTCTCTTCTCACACAAATTCTTTAAATCCTTGATATGCCGCCTCTAAAAAAGTGTTACCATTTATTAGGAGAATTTAAACATGGGAAGACTTTTGTTGAAGATTCATATTTTGTTTGATATTATTTTTCCAAGTGGCATCCAAACAATTACTGTTCCAGCAATGGATATGTTCCTCTGAACCACATTATTATGAATTTACTTCTTATGTTTTATGTCAGATGTCATTTTAAGACAATAATGTGTGGCATATTTAAGAAAGTAACATGTCTTCCTCAGGTTAGACTATTAGTGAAGTTGGCATAAGGGACTTAATGTTAAAAAATTTCATTTTTCTAGAGAAAAAATATTTTCAAGCACAAACTGAATATGTGTATCAAATTCAACTTAGTTCCAGTTTTTTAAATCTATTGATGTTGAAAGAAGCCAGCATAAGTTCATATTTTTTTCTGCTCTGTACTTCTTACTTTTCTTTCTTTTTTTACTTCATTTACTAATTTGAATGTCATCTTAACAGAGGCACTGGGTTTTTTTTTTTTGCAGCGTTTTAACTGATTTTTTTGTACACAACAGACTTATAATGACTCATTTAAATAGATAACATGTTCTAACAGATTAAACAGAAATGTTATACTTTTTTGATAGATATATTTTATATGTGGTAAAATGAGATATTTTTAAAGAATCTGAATATTTTATCTATATTTTTATACCTCTTATAGCTAGTGAATTTTGGAGATATTAATGTATAATTTTCAGAGATAATAGAAGATTCATAGAAAGTTTTGAACAAAATACATAATAGATAACATTAAATGTTTTTGATAGCCATCTACAAAGAGATCTTGAAATAGATAATGCAAACCACCATGGATGATTTAAATTTCCTCTGTCGAATGGTTTTTCACAGAAGGTTTAATTTCAAGACAGGGGTCAAGTCCTACAGAGTTTGGACCTGAAACCAGAGAAAATGTTGCTGGAGAGGTGAGGAAGTCCAGCTAGACAGGAAAAGTCGATTATTCTGAGAGAAAATAACAGGTAACTGATCATCCTGCAGAGCTGTAGTAAAGGTGACATAGCTGGCATATGAGGTACAAATAACAGGGACCTCCAGGAAGGAATATATTGAGATGTATTAAGCTGGCAGGCTACTACTTGTTAAGACATAAGAGTAAACAGGAATCCAGCCCCGTGCCATATGGTTTGAAGTTCGCAAGAACAAAAAACCAAACACTGCATATTCTCACTCATAGGTGGGAATTGAACAATGAGATCACATGGACACAGGAAGGGGAATATCACACTCTGGGGATTGTTGTGGGGTGAGGGGAGGGGGGAGGGATAGCATTGGGAGATATACCTAATGCTAGATGACGAGTTAGTGGGTGCAGTGCACCAGCATGTCACATGTATACATATGTAACTAACCTGCACAATGTGCACATGTACCCTAAAACTTAAAGTATAATAAAATAAATAAATAAATAAATAAAAATAAAAAATAAATTAAAAAAAAAAAAGAATCAGGTCTCTAGTAGCAGAGATGGGAGCATGAGAAAATCAGACTTCCAGTCCTGAAGTTATTGAAGTGCTTCGTTGTTTATCAAGATCAGGACTGATATTAGAGTCCAAATAAATAACTGAGTCATAAGGTAAGGACTTGATCTCAAAAAGAAACTAAGTTCCTGAAACTGTGACATAAAGTCAAACTACAAGAGTAGCCAGGTGAACTTGATTATTGATTGCAATCATGACTTCCTTCTCCAACAAGGCTTGGAGTATTTCTAAAACTGTGACAGGGCCTGCATACTGGCATTAATGGCTACAGGCAGATGATTATGCTGGATATTCTAAATAAGTCTGCTGGGCATAATAAACCTGATAGATTGCGGTAAGATTCCACTTTAAGAATGGTATTTAAGGCAACAAGAATATAATTCACTTTTGTTTTCACTGAGTTTGTTTTGAGCAATCATTTTTAGTACTAGCAGCACGTACGTGATAGAAGGAATATGTGGCTTAAAAAAGCTACAGCTTGACAAACCAAATTGGAAGAACTATAAAGAAGACAGGTACAATAAGATCCTTAAGGACACACTAAAACACCCTTCAAAAATTATACTCTGGCTTATAAAAGCAGTAGAGATTAAATCAGCCCAGTAGTGTGCTGTTTTAAGGAAAACATTTGTCAATTTTGTATTCAGGAACTTGACTGAGGAAAGGGAGGTTTTACTTTTATTTCCAAATTATTCAATTTCTAGACATAAGAACTCTGTGGGCCTTTGAGTCATTCTTTCCTAAACACAAGAAAAGGAAATGACATATCTTAAAAGTGCACAATTAAGCAGTCCCTCACTTAAAGAAAATTAATGTAATAACAATACACACTTGCTAATAGAATAAGTCTTTGAAAATAATATAGTAGTCAAAAAATTTAAAGATATTAAAAGATAACCTTACATTTCTATTCACATATTTGTGTCTTAATCACACCCACATTGAAAGATTATGAACACCATCAGCAGATGTCTTTGAACATGAAGCCCAGTGATAAATAGTTATAATTTCATAAATGTTATCTCATTTTTCAAACTCTAACAATAATTTCAGTTCCCACTGTGAACTTTATATTCTAATTTATATTTTATGTTAAATATATTACTCTGTTCCAACAAAAATGAAATAACCAGATATATTATTATCAAGTAAAAACAGTGATACACATTTACACATTTTATAACTGTGATGCAAAAATCAACTTATTTAGCTTGATAAGCACAGGTGGATTTTTTTAACTTAAAACAATACAGAATTTTATGTTCCTTTTAAAAGAAAAATAAATAAATCAGTAGTACTGGGAATTTTATACAATTGGCAAATGAATTGCTGACTCAGGTAGCATTGAGAATGTAGTTCTGGAATCTCCACAAACACACTCATGTCATGTTCCTTTCACCACTCAGAGCCACTGAACTGCTGCTGCTTGGCCATGACAAACTGTTGGTGGCTGCTGTTCTGTGGCTTGATGCACTTAGTTACCTAAGACAAACATATATATTTGTTTCCCAAAGAAGTTCATGGCAATCATTTGAAGGAGTGAAGCCCAATCCCAGAACTCCTTGCTTTCTTTCAATAACCCATTCATATATATTCTATGTTCCATTTATTCTTAATGCCCTCAGGCCCTAAATCAGTTAAATCGGGTATGTTTTCAAAATGAGAATTTCAAACGGACTTTGCTCAAACCTAAAAGACATTCTCATATCAAATTTTACTGTTTTGCAAATGTCTTAATATTTTAATATCTAATACCTTCACTTCATCTTTCACAGTCTTAAGATGCTTTCACAGACAACAAGGGAAAACGTCTAAATGAATGGTGCTGTTATAATAAGAAAGGGCTCATAAGAAGAAAGAGACACTGACCACTGTGACATCACATTATAAAGTGATATGGAAATGTAGTTAATGTATTATGTATCATATAATTATTATGTAAGACCTTGGCACCTTTCAGGCATGGAATTCACAACACAGAGCAGATTGCCCGGATACAGAAAGAAGAGTCCACACTGATGCTAATAACACTTCGGATAACCTCCTAACTCACTTCCTAAACCTTATTAGCTCTTGCAATCTCCACTTTTCTCCTTCCACTCATGACCAAGTTCCCATTTCTCTGACAGCAGAGCACCACCACCCAAATTTCAAACAGTGAATCTTTCCACCTTTCCATGTTTCTTGCTCTTTGTGAACTTGTTCTTCACTTGCTTTGTTCTGTCTAGTGCCTTAATCTTCATTACAATCCTATACACATCTACCTGCTGTCCTGTTTGAACCCCAAAATAGACAATTCCAATATCTCTTCCCTGGCCTCCTAGATTTGCTCACCCTCTTCACCTAGACTGTGAATTTCCTCTTCTTGGGTAAAGACAGAATTTTGTTTTCTCCGACAGAAAACAAAAGCCTTAGATTCATTTTTATAGAAAGCATTGGTAACTCTGTGAATGTATCCTGTTATAAATTCGTCCTTACTAACTTCATTGGCTAACAATAACTCCTGGAAACTGCCATTCCAATTCTATGATGTTTAGAACCAGAAAAGCAAATTTCGGGAAAATGTAGGAAAGAAAAAAAAAAAAAAAAAAAAGATGTTTCTTCATACTTTCCTAGAGTCCTCTGGAGGAGGGAAAGAAATTTAAAAGCTTTTCTCAAAATATGAGTTTCAGATTGGTAGCAACATGTTAATTAAACTCTGTTACTAATCACAGAATGTTAGATTGAAAAATCTGTGTTCACTCATATGCTGTTTATTTTTTACTAAGTATTATATTGACTGGTTAAAATATGCTTGATCGGCTAGCCATCTAAAATAATCCCTTGCTACTTACACATTGTCTTTCTATATTTATTTTATATCTCTAATGAATGTCTTCAAAGGATCCCAGCAGCTTACTTCTGCTCAATCAAAGCCAGGGTTTACCTTTTAAGACCAGTGCAATTACTTTAATACAAAGCAGAAAACCACATGCATTGGCTCTATGTTCAAATTAACTGCCCTTTTTAGACACATCCCCCAAATCCTAGACTTTTAAGACTATTGATCATTTCAGTCTGTGTTGTTATCACTTAACTGATTGAATCTGTTGTAGTTGTATCTCACGGGACTGAGATTTCTGTTAAATCAGGCTTCTAGGATCTCTCCCCTACTAACTTCTCACAACAGATCATGTCACATTGTCATAATCATAGGGCTCAGAAATTTCCAATTTACTCATTATTATATAGAATAATGGGTAAGTGTCCAGGACCTCGGGTTAGATGGCATGTATTTAAATTCAAGCTCAAGGGGACAAATGTCAGCAAATAGGACTCTCAAGCAATTCTCAAGCACTTGTGCCCCCACAAAAGCATAAATTTGAACAATTATTCATGTACAAATATATCTTCACAAGTGACAGGTGATAGATTACAGCATCTTAGTATATCAAAGAAATAAGAAAAGTCACATTGAAAAGGGTAGGAAGAACAGCTTCACGTTACCCTCTTTACCTCTCTCCCAACTTAAGGTAGCACAGTATGGAAAGAGATACCCTCCATATGGGGGAAGGGGAAGGAAGTAAGCAATGGTCCCAGCTTTGGACCCCAATACTGGGAATTCCCCAGTAAAACCCAGTGCTAGGCAGAACTCCAGGGCCCCAGACTCTAGACAGTGCCTGTGTCTGAGCCTCCAGCCACCTCAGCTCCAGGCCAGATCCTGTAGTTCCAGGTTCCAGGCTCCAGGCATGCTAGATGGAGTCTGTCTCAGAGCCACCCCACTGCCAGCCTAAACCCAGTGGCCCCAGGCTCTGGACTATTCTCAGCCAAGTCCACAGCCCAACCTCAAATACCAGGTGGACACTCAGAGACACAGATTCCAAGCCTTCCCAGTGCCAGGCTGGTCTCTCTGGCCCAAGCCTCCAGACTGGCACCTGTGGCACTATGTTCTAGCAACCCAGGGATTAGGCCTGATCCAGCAGAAACAGGATCCAGGCCAGTCCCAGTAGATCACAATTCTGGACTGGCACGTGTGCACCCAGGTCCCTGGCCATCCCCCACAGTCTCAGACCCCAGGCAAGCCTTCACGGACCTAGCCTCTAGGCTAGCACCTGCACAACAAGCCCCCAGGCCAGCATCAGTGGACATAGGATCCAGGCTAACACCCACAATCCTGCTCTCCAGAGCAGTCCCCATAGAAACCGGCTCCATGCCAGCGTCAGCATCAGGTCAAACCGAGGCTCCAGAGGGCCCAGGTCTAGGCCTGTTCCAGAAAACCCAGGGTCCAGGACCACTCCAGGAAACCCTTTTGTCAGGTCGAATCCTGTGAACTGAGACTGCATGAACACCCCTGAAAACCCAGACTACAGTCTAGCCCTCATGGACCCAAGATCCAGACCTACTTTTGCAGACTTAGGGTCCAGACACACCTCACTGCCAGGCCAGCCTTAGAGAACTGAAGTTAAGGGCCCACCCCCATGTCATGTCAACCCCTGTGGGCCTAGACTTCAGGCCAGCCTCCACACATACTGGATTTTGTCCCATATTAATGGACCCAGGTTTCAGGCCTATCTCTACCAATGCAATTAACAGGTCCACCCCAGTGGATTCAGGATTCAGAACTAATGCTGCATACTCAAGTGCCAGGCTTTCCCACCTGCTGACCAAGACACCAGAGGCCAGGCTGCACAATGACTCCAGCAGCAAGCCTACCTCCAGACATGCCAGGCAGCCTACCCAGAATCTCTGGATGGGCCGACAAGCAGAGGGCTCGCCCAGACAAAGCCAGTCTGTAAAGACTAGAATAAGTCTTTACGTTTTCAAAAGAGCACGCATCAATGTAAGGAGAAAAAAAGACAAAGACGTAGAAAGCTCATTTAAAGCTATAATAGCAGAACGCTCTGCAAATTTGGAGAAATATATGAATATTCCAGTACAGAAAGATTAAGGGTTTCCAAACAGATTCAATCCAAACAAGATGATGCATAGACATATTATAATCAAACTGTCAAAAATCAAGGACAAAAAGAGAATCCTGAAAGCAGCAAGAGAAAAGAAGGACATAACATATAAGGAAGTTTGAGGTTAGTAGCAGATTTCTCAACAGAAAGCTTATAGGCCAGGAGACAGTGGGATGATATATCAAAAGTGCTGAAGAAAAAAAAAAGTCGACGAAGAATACCATATCTGTCAAAGATGTCCTTCAGAATCAAAGGGAGATAAAGACTTTCTCAGACAAACAGAAACTGAGAAAGTTCATCACAATCAGACCTGCCTTACAAGAAATGCTAAAGAGACTTCTTCACACGAAAAGAACCTGATGCAAATTAGTAACAAAAAAAAATATGAAAGTATAAAACTCACCGGAGAAAAAGTACGTAGTCAAATTTAGAATACCATTATAACATCGTAATGGTGGTTTGTACGTGACCACCATTATTCTTCAGTATGAAAGCTTCAAAATAAAACTATTAAAAATAAAAATAGCTATTATAATTTCTTAAGGGACATTGCATTAGTCAGGTTTCTCTAGAGGGACAGAACTAATAAGATATATGTATATATGTATATATGAAGGGCAGTTTATTACGGTGAATCAACCCACAAGTTCACAAAGTGAAGTCTCACAATAAGCCATCTATAAGTTGAGGAGCAAGGAAGCCAGTAGTGGCATAGTCCAAGTCCCAAAACCTCAAAATTAAGGAAGCTGACTGTGCAGCCTTCAGTCTGTGGCCAACGGCCTAAGAGCCCCTGGCAAAACACTGGTGTAAGTCCAAGAGTCCAAAGCCAGCGAACTTGGAGTCTGATGTTTGAGGACAGGAAGCATCCAGCACAGGGGAAAAATGAAGGCTGGAAGACTCAAAAAATCAGCTTCTTCCACTTTCTTCTACCTGCTTTTTCTAGCTGTGCTGGCAGCTGGTTGGATGGTGCCTCCCCCCCCCCCCCAACGCAACATTGTGAGTGGGTCTTCCTGAGGCGGGGGTCTTCCTCTCCCAGTCCACTGACTCAAATGTTAATCTCTGCAGGCAACACCCAGAATCACCCAGAAACAATACTTTGTATCCTTCAAACCAGTCAGTTTGACACTTAATATTAACCATCACAGATACAGAATATAAAAAGACATAAATTGTGACGTAACACATTTTTAATGTGTGAGAAGGTAAAAGTGTAAAGTTTTTGTATGTGATCAAAGTTCAGCTGTTATCAGCTTAAAATAGCCTCTTTTAGCAAGGAGCAACTCACTCTCACCAAAGGCCTCTGGAATCCTGGCAGAAGGATAGCTCATGACCACCGTAGACACTTGAGTTGGCAGGGAGCGCTGCTTAGAGAAGGGGCAAGGGCAGAACTCCAGACAGGGTAGAGCCCAGAGGGTTTGGTGTGGGAGTGTCTATAGTGGAGCACAGGAAGGGACACCTATTTCCCTAGGCTCGACTTGCTGCTATAAGAAACTTTAGCCCAGGGGAACTGTCAGACCTCAACTCTGTAGGGAGGTCTTGCCCGTGAGATGAGGCTGGGCTGAACTGAGCACCCTTCAGTCTGCTTGCCTGTCCCAAGGCCCCAGCCTGGCCATGCCTGCTTGCAGTGCAACCTCAGGTGCACAGGGGAGGAGTACCTCCTGGGGGCCCACATCATACCTCCTGCGCTGGTGGAATGCACCTCACTGGCAGAGAGCTTCAGCAGAGAGGTGCCTGAGGACACACACCAGCCTGCCAGCACTCTCCCTGCACTGCAGCCTTCTCTGTGACAATTTGTCTGCATGCACTTGCCCACAGCCACCCCAAATGACTTTGCCAGTGCATATGTGCACAAAAGGACCTGGCCTCCCCTTCCCTGCCAGCACTTGTGTGCATATGCACTCTGCCGTGCCACTGCTGCAGGTGTGAGTGCACTCTGCTGCCTCCTCACCCCCACTGCACTGGCGTTGCCATAGGAGCATTGGTGGGCATGGAGTACACTAGCCTCACTCGCCAATGTTCTGTCCCAACATTGCCACCAGTGCGAAACTAGGCATGGTGAACAGTGGACCCACCACCTTCACCCACAGCAGCTCCCCCTACAGCAGCCGTTTGAATGGCAACAGAGGGTGCACACAACCCTGTGTCTACCAGCACCTCACCCACATGCTGACACCAACACTGGCACAAATGGTTGCATGGACACTAGCTGGGGCACCCTGCCCCTCTGTGCCATGCTAACATCAACCACTACTGTGAAAGCCTGCACAGAGGCCAGTACCCTAGCACTTGCTAGCACACTGCAGCAGCCAATGGGAGTGCACTCCACTGCACTGCCACCAGCACAAGCAAATGAGAACTGGTCTCGCTGCCACCTCCCTGCTAAGTGCTTTGGGTGGCACCACCCATTGAAGTGTTGTGACCAGTGGCCTGGGAGCACCTTGGCCTCTCTATCACTCCAGGTTCCCAATGTTGAGGGGCCATAGAACAAAGCAAGGACTGAATAACATTCACCCAGAGTTAAAGCATGCAGTCCAGGATTCTTGAGCTGAGCCTTATCTCCTGACTAAAAGATTTCAGAAATAAAGTCAGTCGACTGAACCCACCTTATATCACTATCAAACCACCAAGGGAATCAAATAGAATAAAGAGGAAAAATAAACATCAAAGGAGGGCAACTTCAAAGACTGAAGGACCGTCAGCCCACAAAGATGAGAAAGAACCAGTACAAGAACTCTGACAACTCAAAAAGTCAGAGTGCCTTCTTTCTTCCTAATGACCATACTAGCTCTACAAGAAGGGTTATGAACTAAGCTGAGATGGCTGAAATGACAGAAATAGAATTCAAAATATGGATAGGAATGAAGATTATTGAGATTCAGGAGAACATTGAAACACAATTCAAGGAAGTTAAGAATCACTGTAAAATGATACAAGACCCAAGAGACAAAATAGCCTATAAAGAAAAGGATGTAACTGACCTGATAGAAATGAAAAACACACTACCAGAATTTTATAATGCAATCACAGATATTACCAGTAGAATAGACCAAGCTGAGTAAATAATCTCTGAGCTTGAAGACTGGCTTTCTGAAATAAGATAGCCAGATAAGAATAAAGAAAACAGAATAAAAAGCAATGAACAAAACCTCTGAGAAATGTGGGATTATGTAAAGAGTCTGTATCTGTGATTCATCGGCATTCCTGAAAGAGATGGGGAGAATGGACGACATTTGAAAAAGACATTTAAGGAAATCATCCATCAGAATTTCCCAAACCTAGCTACAGAGCCCAACATTCAAATTCAGAAAATGCAGAAAAACTCTGCAAAATAATTCACAAGAAGATCATCCCCAAGACACATAATCATCAGATTCTTTAAAGACAAAATTAAAGAAAAAATGTTAAAGGCAGCTAGAGAGAAAGGACAGGCCACCTACCAAGGGAAGCCCATGAGACTATCAGTAGACATCTCAGCAGAAACAGTACAAGCCAGAAGAGACGGGAGACTTACATTAAATTTTATTAAAGAAAAAAAATTACAATTCGGAATTTCATATCCAGCCAAACTAAGCTTCATAAGAGAAGAAGAATTAAGATCCTTTTCAGATAAGCAAATGTTGAAGGAATTCATGACCACCAAACCTGCCTTACCAGAGTTTCTGAAAGAAGCACTAATTATGGAAAATAAAAACCATTACCATCCAATATAGAAACACTTAAGTACACAGACCAGTGACACTATGAAGCAACCACACAAGAAGTCAGAATAGTAAACAGCTAACAACATGATTACATGATCAAATCCACACATTTCAATAGAAACCTTGAATGTAAATGGGCTAAATGCCCCATTTAAAAGGCACAGAGTGGCAAGGTGGATATAGAAGCAAGACCAAAGGCCATGCTATCTTCAAGAGACCCATCTCACATGCAATGACACCCATAGACTCAAAATAAAGGGATGAAGAAAATCCAACAAAGAAAATGGAAAACAGAAAAAAAGTAGTAGTTGCAATCCTAATTTCAGACAAAACAGTCTTTAAACCAACAAAGATCAAAGACAACAAAGAAGGGCATTAAATAATGGTAAAAGGTTCAATTCAACAAGAAGACTTAACTATTCTAAATATATATACACCCAACACAAGAGTACCCAGATTCATAAAGCAAATTCTAAGAGACCTTGAAAGAGGCTTACACTCCCACACAACAATAGTGGGAAACTTCAACACCCCACTGAGTGCATTATATAGATTATCAAGGTAGAAAATTAACCAATATATTTAGGACCTAAACTCAACACTGGACCAAATGGACCTGATGCATGTCTATGGAACTCTCCACTCCAAAACAATGAATATACATTCTTCTCATTGTTACATGGTACATATTCTAAAATCAACCACACTTTGGAGATAAAACTATCCTCAGCAAGTGAAAAAGAACTGAATTCACACCAAACACTCTCTCAGACCACAACACAATAAAAATAGAAATCCAGACTGAGAAAATTGCTGAAAACCGTACAATTACATGGAAATTCAACAATCTACTCGTGAAAGACTTTTGGGTAAATAATAAAATTCAGCCAGAAAACAAGAAGTTGTTTGAAACTAATGAGAACAAGGATAAAACATAGCAGGATCTCTGGGACACAGCTAAGGCAGTGTTAAAAAGGAAATGTATAGCATTAAGCACTCACATTAAAACATTAGAAAGATCTCAAATTAACAACCTAACAGCATAACTAAAATAACTAGAGAAACCAGAGCAAAGCAACCCCAAAGCTAGCAGAAGACAAGACAGAACCAAAATCAGAGCTGAACTGAAGGAGATTGAGGACCAGGAAATCATTAAAAAGATCAACAAAGCCAGGAGCTAGATTTTTGAAAAAAAAAATGATAGGTTGCTAGCTAGATTATAAAGAAAAAAAGATGGAAGATCCAAATAAACATAATTAGAAACGATAAAAGGTTTGCCACTACTGACCCAACAGGAATAAAAATCACCATCAGATACTACTTTGGACACCTCTATGAGCACAAACTAGAAAATCTAGAAATAATGAATGAATTCCAGAAAACATAAAGTCTCCTAACACTAAACCAAGAAGAAATTGAATCCCCAAACAGACCAATAATGGGCAACAAGATTGAATCACTAATAAAATAGCCTATGGACCTAAAAAAGCCCAGGACCAGATGGATTCATAGCCAATTCTACGATGTAGATGTATGATGTAAATGTATGATGAAAAGCTGGTACAACTCCTACCAAAACTATTCAAAAAAATTCAGTGGGAGAGACTCCTCCTCAACTCATTATATGAGACCAGCATCATCCTAATACGAAAAGCTGGTGGAGACACAACAAAAAAGAAAACTTCAGGCCAATATCCTTGATGAACATTGATGGAAAAATCCTCAACAAAATACTGGCAAACCAAATCCAGCAGCACATCAAAAGGCTAATCAACCATGATCAAGCAGGCTTTATCCCTGGGATGCAAGGTTGTTTCAACATATGCAAATCAATAAATGTGATTCATCACATAAGTAGAACTAAAGACAAAAACCACATGATTATCTTAATAGATGCAGAAAAGGCTTTCAATAAAATTCAACATTTCTTTATGTTAAAAACTCTTCACAAACTAGGCATTGAAGAAACAAACCTCAAAATAATAAGAGCCGTCTATGACAAACCCACACCCAATATCATGCTGAATGGTCAAAAGCTGGAAGCATTCTCCTTGAAAACTGGCACAAGACAAGGATGCCCTTTCTCATCATTCTTATTCAACATATTATAAGTTCTGTCCAGAGCAATCAGGCAAGAGAAAGAAAGAAAGCGCATCCAGATAGAATGAGAGGAAGTCAAACTATCTCGGTTTAGAGATGACATGATTCTATATCTAGAAAATCACATAGTCTCAGCCCAAAAGTTCCTTAAGCTGATAACTTCAGCAAATTTCAGGATACAAAATCAATGTACTGAAATTACTAGCATTCTTATACACCAACAATAGCCAAGCTCAGAGCCAAATCAAGAATGAAATCCCATTCACAATTGCCTTAAAAAAATAAAATACTTACAAATACAGCTAGCAATGGATGTTAAAGATCTCCACGATGAGTATTACAAAACACTGCTCAAAGATATCGGGGTGACAAAACCATGGAAAAACTTTCAATGCTCATGGACAGGAAGAATAAATATTGTTAAAATTGCCATGCTGTTTAAAGCAACTTACAGATTCTATTCTATTCCTTAAAATAAATTCATGAAACTACAAAACATTTTAAAATTTATATGGAACCTCAAAAGAGCTTGAATACCCAGGGCAATCCTAAGCAAAAGGAACAAAGCTGGAAGTATCATATACTTGACCTCAAATTATACCCCAGAGCTATAGTAACCAAAACAACATGGTACTGGCACAAAAACAGACACATAGAACAAAGGAACAGAATGGAGAGCCCGGAAATAATTCTGCAAACCTACATACATCTGATCTTCCACAAAGCAGACAAAACAAGCAATGAGGAAGTGACACACTATTCAATAAATGGTGCTGAGATAACTGGCCAGCCATAAGCAGATGACTGAAACTGGACCCCTTACTTACACTATGTACAAATATCAACTCAAGATGGATTAAAGACTTAAAGGAAAACTCAAAACTATAAGAACCCTGGAAGACAACCTAGGCAATACCTTTCTGGACTTAGAAACTGGCAAAGATGTCATAATGAAGACGCCAATAGCAATTGCAACAAAGACGAATATTGCCAAATGGGCCCTATTATACTAAAGAGCTTCTTCACAGCAAAAGAAACTCTCAATAAGCAGACAACCTACAGAAAGCAAGAAAATATCTGCAAACTATGCATCTGGCAAAAGTCCAATATCCAGCATCTATAAGAAACTTAAACAAATTTACAAGAAAAAAAAAATCAAACAACCCCATTACAAATGGGCAAATGACATGAACAGATATTTTTCAAAAGAAGACACAGGTGCAGCCAGCAAGCATATGGAGAAAAGCTCAATATCACAGATCATTAGATACATGCAAATAAAAACCACAATGAGATAACACCTCACATTGATCACAATAACTATTACTAAAAAGTCAAAAAATAACAGATTCTGATGAGCTTGTGGAGAAAAGAGAACGCTTACACACTGTTGGTGAGAGCGTCAATGAGTTCAACCATTGTGGAAAGCAGTGTGGCACTTCCTGAAAGATCTAAAAACAGAACTACCATTCAACCCAGCTATCCCATTACTGGGTATATACCCTCAGGAATATACATTGTCCTACCATAAAGACACGTGCACGTGACAAACACATAGATTCAACCTAAATTCCCATCAATGGATGACTGGATAAAGAAAATGCGATACATATACCTCATGGTATACCATGCAGCCATAAAAAAGAACAAGATCATGTCCTTTGCAGGAACATGGATGGAATTGGAGACCACTATCCTTAGCAAACTAATGCGGGAACAGAAAACCAAAACTACATTTTCTCACTTATAAGTGGGAGCTAAAGGGTGAGAACATATGGACACAAAGAGAGGCACAAGAAACACTGGGGACTACTTGAAGTTGGAGGGTAGGAGGAGGAAAAGGATCAGAAAAAAATAACTATGGGGTACTAGTCTTAGTACTTGGGTGATGAAATAATTGGTACAACAAACCCCCATGCCACGAGTTTGCCTATATAACGGACATGCACATGTACCCCTGAACTTAAAAAGAAAGTGTTTTTTTCTAATGTGGCCTTTTTAAACTATAAGGTTTTTTTGTTTATTTTTATTTATTTTATTTATTTATTATTTATTTATTTATTTTAATCCTTGTGGTAACCACAAAGCAAAGACAACAATAGAGGAAGAAAAGAACGAAGTGTCTACAAATCAATCAGAAAACAATTAACGAATGACAATAGTAATTACATTGAATGTAAATGGACATAGGGTGACATGAGGTAACATCCCTCATTATCAGGAATAGGTAGTTCCTTCATACATTATTTCCACATTATATAAATTACTCAGATAATTGTCATTACGATGATGCTTTAGATTTGTTTGAAGTCCACTGTTTTGATATAAAGAGCAATTGGCCTATATTCTTCCTCAAACCTTATAAAAATTATTTCATTATTGTTTGCGAAAGTTTGTTGAATGATTGTGTAGTATTACTTCTTTGATAAAGATGAAGTGGAAAAATATAAATGAAGACACTTCCTAGATTCACTCTTGATTTAATTGTTCATTAAAATAACCTCGTATTGGACGTGTGTTTTATTCTTAAAAAATTGGCAAACTGCTAATACATCTCACTTAACTGGGCCAAGTACATGTCTCATTTAACTTTGACTCCCCAGCACCAACTCATTTATTAAGAACAAATGCTTGTTGAATTAAACAGCCAAAGAGCAGACACATGAAATTAAATTTGTGGTTAGTAAGATAGGCCAGACTGAAACACTGCTCTTGTGAAGAAGCATTTTTAATCATCTTGTTATTTTCAGGCATAAAATAATCATTTATAAAAATGATTACATATTTTCCATATTAAGAAAATAGTAGTTTTCTGTTATGTTAATGGCTGCTTGGGAATAAAATAAGTACTTTACCAAATTCATTGGAATTATAAGAATATAAGCATACCTGGAAGTAGCTATGAGGATACATTTAAATTAAAGCAGCTGCAAGAGTTTATGATTTGGTGTCTCCTCATGCCCAATATTGTTTGGGAATAACACAGTTTCAATTTATAGAATTATAACATGCATTTTAGGGCTGGAGAGAAGCTTAACGTGTCCTTTGCTGAACCTAGAGAGGAATGCACTGCAAAAGAATGTCCATCCAAAATTGAATAGTGACATAGAAAATGCTGATAATCTCTACTGGAGGAAAGAGGTGGCATGTAAGATGCTGCATAGTACTTATTTACTTAATGTCTAGATCTTTATTATTAAAATGCTGTGTGGCATATGTGCCTTATTTTTTTTCCCATAGTTTAATGAATTTCGGGGAATTTCAGCATGCTTTGATGAAAGAAGGAGCAGCTACACATTTTCCAAAAAATAAAAATAAATAAATAAAATGCAGGCACTAACTGCTTTTGACCAAAGGGTGTATTACTGGTCAAAATTCAGCAGTGTGTTCTGGAAAATCAAAAGGAACAACTTTCTGCTGATTAGATGAATATATAGGTAGAGGAAGATGAGAATATAAGGTACATGGGAGCCCTGAACCATTTCTCTACTTTAAGTATTGGATAAATATCAATGTCATCTTTCCCAGAAACCATTCGTTTAAAAATGAAAATTAAAGGGTAACAGAAAAATTATATAGTGTTAGGAGTAATCCATCAGGAAACAAAATAGTTGTGTGTGTCATCTACACACTCTCATGCTGAGGGCCTTGAATTCCACTTTTTGCTTTGAAATTTACTGTGCTGGAATTTTCACAGCAAAGGAAAGTTTTGCATAATGACTTCTCAGTGAAAGAGCCGTTAAGCTGCCAGGTATATGCTTCTGGAATAACACGCCATGAGATTCTTTGATGTTATTTCCTGAGTTACTTTCTTTGGAGCATTATTCTGTAAAATTTGGTAGAAAAAACATCTCATGATTAGGAAGTTGGGGAAATGCTGAATATTTTATCTGCTTTTTGTAAATTCACAATGTATGTTTTTATACTGAAGATCAAAAATTCCTAGAGTAAAAAATATAAACTGAAAACAAAACAAACAAAAAATCTTGCTAAATCAATTAACACAAATATTTTCTAAATATGTATAAAATATGTAAATACTTATATGTTTATATATAAAATAATATATAATAAATTATATTGCATATTATAATAAAATTTTATAAATTATATATAATAAAATATTATAGATTACATATAATAAAATATGTAAATATAAATACATGAAATATATAAATACAAATATATCTAAAATATTGCCATGAATCCATTTTTTCACTGAACACCTATTGCTATTTTGTGCGACATGATGATAGAGAACAGAGTCTAATAAACCTGGTTTAAGACTGGGCACAGTGGCTGATGCCTATAATGCTAGCATTTCGGGATGCCAAGGTGAAAGGATCTCTTGAGTCCAGGAGTTTGAGACCAGCTTGGGCAACATGGGAAAACCACATCTTTACAAGAAATACACAAATTAGCCAAGTGTGGTGGCGTGGGCCAATAGTCCCAGCTACTCAGGAGGCTGAAGTGGGGATGTAGTGAACCATGATTGTGCCACTGCACTCCAGCCTGGGTGGCAGGGTGAGACTCTGTCTCATAAAAAAAAAAAAAAGCTGGTTTAAAACCCCATAAATTATGATGGAACCACACTTCCAAGTGAGATGGGGTGGTTGTGATAGCAGCATTCACTTCTATTTTCATGGAGACAATTGTTTTTATTTTATCCTTTTCATTTTTTCATACTTTTCCCTTTCAACAGACTCTACTAGGAATAAAGAGAAAAATGTCATTTGCTACCCCAGAGGAGCTATTCACTTCACTATAAATAATTATAACAGAGTCAGATAAAGGTGCATTGATAATAAGACATATTAGCTAAGTTTCTCTTGGTAGCAAGCAACGAAAACCAAATAGAAATTAGATACATAAAACCTAAGCACAGAAATAAAAGCAGGCTCAGAAAAGACCTAGAAAGCAGCTATATCATTTTCAATAACACAATCACTGAACTGCTTTGAGCAAAGGCTATCTTAGGAAGACAAAAATTCAGAATCTTGTCTTGAGATTCAAAATAAAGTCCGCTGCTGGTAGAATAAATGCATATATTTAAATAAATAAATATGAAATATATATAAACAAAAATTAAATCTATGCATATGTAAGTATACTCAAATATCGTTGTTCCTTCAACATTTATTTGTTCAACGTTGTTCCATTATAATGTTGATGAGGAAAAAAATCAATTTCCAGAGGGGTCACTGTGTGGAATTTGCACGTTTTCCCCATGTCTGTATGGGTTTTCTCCGTGTACTCCCATTTCCTTCCACATTCTAAAGTTGTGCACATTAGATGCATTGGCCTGTTTACATTGTCCCAGAGTGCGTAAATGTGTGTGTGAGAGAGACCTGCGATGGGATGGCATGCTGGCCAGAGCTGATTCTGGCCTTGCTCCCATAGTTTCTCAGATATGTGCCAGCCACTCTCCACCCTGAACTGGAATACATGGATAAATATCTTACTTGTATCTAATAATCTTCTTGTGTTTTTGTTTTGTTTTGTTTTGTTTTGTTTGAGACGGAGCCTTGCTTTGTCGCCCAGGCTGGAGTGCAATGGCGCAATCTCGGCTCACTGTAACCTCCACCTGCCGGGTTCAAGCAATTCTCCTGCCTCAGCTTCCTGACTAGCTGGGACTACAGGCGCGCGCCACCATGCCTGGCTAATTTTTGTATTTTTAGTAGAGTCCGGGGTTTCATCACGCTGGCCAGGCTGGTCTCGAACTCCTGACCTCGTGATCCACCCACCTCGGCCTCCCAAAGTGCTGGGATTACAGGCATGAGCTACCGCGCCTGGCCCGTATCTATTAATCTTCTAAATGTATGTATAGCTCACATTTATTTCCATATTTAATACTAGAAATAATTGGGTCTTTATTTACAAGTTTGGTGATGTTTTTGTGATGGGAAATGTGCCATAAAACTTAATTCTTGTTTATATCAATTAGCCTAGGATAAAATTGGTTTCCTTACAAGTTCCTCTGCATAAAGTTGCAGTTTCCAAAAACTTATCAACAACATTAACTAAAGACTTACTATAATATATATGTATATATAACTACTTTATTGGTAGAAATAGTACAGATGCCCAGCACTGGTGACTATAGGGATTTACTACGAAGTCTATGGAGATGCCAGCCCATTCCCATTATGTCACTGTCACTCAGGGTGAGTTTGTCAGAGAGGTACTCTGTCATGCCATCTTCCAGGGCTCCCATCTTGCTACCCAGAATCAACAAATGTTAACATTTTCATATTTAAAAAACAAAAGTTTGCATGTAAAGTTGAAGAGCCCTTTGTTTATTTTAGTCCCTGCCCAATCTCATTCTGTTCACTTCTTTCCCACAGGCAACCACTAGGATGAATTCCAGATCATTTTTTATGCCTTGAGATGCCCAAGCACCCTCAGACAACAAGGCCCAAGACCCCCCATCCCACTCCACCCCGCCCCATACATCCACATAGTTTATAAAGGGAAGACTAATGCATTATTAGTACAAATGTTATAGATTATCAGCTTATTAGCAATGAATATATTTATTGGTCATATATATATAGGTCCAGTAAAATATATATATATATAGAGAGAAAGAATAGACATATATTTTCTATATATTATATTCTATATATAAATAATACATAATTGTAATATATACATAATATATATCATATAATTATATAATATATATAATTATATTCTCTATATTCTCTATATTATATATATTCTCTATATTCTCTATATTATATATATATATATATATAATAGAATACACACACACACACACACACACACACACACACTTTTGGCAAACAACATGAACTTGGGCCCAAAGATTAAAGTCAATGTCTGTTGCAATCATTCAACATTTAGCACGAAGACTGGCAGACTAACATACTATTTCCTAAAGAAAATAATTACTGAATATATGGTGTGTTCATGCCATTCTAATTCAGTATCCTCTTTATATTTGATAATCCTGTAGATCTTTTCTTGTGTTACATATAAATGAAAAATTACTCTAAGCATTTTCAGGATTATCTTGATCTCTTTATGGTT
This sequence comes from Homo sapiens, assembly GCF_000001405.40. Taxonomy (NCBI): domain Eukaryota; kingdom Metazoa; phylum Chordata; class Mammalia; order Primates; family Hominidae; genus Homo; species Homo sapiens. The sequence continues at coordinate 34,470,493 of NC_000023.11, read as the reverse complement.
CAATACAGCCAGAAAAATTCAATGTTCTTATTTGGATGTGTGTTTTCAATCCTGTTAAGTGAGATTTCTGCTCTTTATGGCATTTCTTAGTGTAAAAATGAAGTTGTGTCATGTTCACCCTTATAGTCATGTTGACTTATTTTACTAGCTGCAAAGTAATGATTAGGAAATGAAAAAATAAATTACCAGAAAGAAGCTTCAGCACCTTCAGCTGCTGAAGTTCTTGAGACTCTTTACGGTAATTCATGAAAAAAAACCAAACTTCACCAGAATAAAGTACTACTTTACTTTTCACAACTTCATAGAAAAGAACACGAATGGTGAATATTTAAAAGGTGGTTTTTATTTCCTGAAGGAAAAATTACATTATGAATAATTATATAAAATAAGGTGTGTCAAACATTTCAGTAAGAAAGAGTGCTCAAGAATGAAGATACTCCAAGTATATCGGGGTATATAGGCATGGCACATTCAAAAGAAAACTTGCACCACAGAAACTAGATCTATTCTCAAGTGAGAAGTGATTGTGTTTAAGACAAAAACATAATGTGAAATACAGTTGAAATTTCTTAATTTTTAGTTTTACAGTTTTATTTGTAATATTTGTAAATTGTTCATTTTATAGGTATAAGAACATACCTTTAAGCATACACATTTTTATAACTCATTTTATCTTAGTGAATATTTAAGTAAAATTATAAGAAATTTTCATTATTGACTGTTATTGATTCTTTTTTCTTCCAAAGGAAACACTGTTTAAATACATTGTCAACACTGTTTAAATACAAGTTGTAACTTCTCTGCACTCTACAGTGATGTCAGTTTTCTTCAACCCAAGAAGGGCTGTTTGCATAAGTAAGTTGCTTTCACTCCTAGTTTTTTTACTACCATTTGGCTACTCCCCAAGGTTTGTCTCTTCTTACTCTTCTATCATGACTTCGTTATCCTGTGGGCCCACCAATTATGTACATGTTATCTAAGATAATTATTTTGTCCACAGGCTCCAATATTTGATTTTTCCATTTCCATCTAGCACATGCTGAAACTTAATTTTCTCCAAATTTGGTTACTACTGTGAAAGTCTTCTGAGGGCCTATAAAAGGCACAAGGCTCTAGAAAAGTAATTCTCATATATTGGTGTGTACAATTTAAAGATAATGTACAATGTAGATGACTGGCTCCACTTCAAAAAATTATGATTTACTATATATGGGGAGGGAGGCCACAAGAATGCACTTTAAAGAAGCTACAGCTTTCTTTCTTATATAATTAATATTGATTTGTTGATAATTCATCATAATGCAATATATAGTTTAACATGGAAACCTTTTATTTCAGAATGATTTTAGATTTATGAAGCAGTTGTAAAGATTGTACAGAGCATTTTTCATGTACATTTCACTCAGCTTCCCCTAAAATTAATATTTTACATTGTACATGCATTTAAACTAAAAAATTAACATTGATATATTACTGTTAACTAAATTTCAGACTTTATTCAGATTTGTAGATTTTTTTACACCCATGTCCTTTTTTGGTGCCAGGATTTAACCCAGCCTACCACATTGAATTTAGTTATCATGTCTCTTTAATCTAAAGTCTATGACAGGTTCTCACCCTTTACTTGTTTCCCATGACCTTTATGGTTTTGAGATGCAGTTCGGAATTTTGTAGACTATCCTTGGACTTAGGTTTGTTAGATGTTTTCTCATCATTAGGCTAGGATTCTAGATTTTGGAGAAGAATACTATAGAAGTAAAGTGTCTTTCTCCTCACATCTTATCAGAGGAGTACATGATACCAGCATGTATTCCTCTCTTATCACGCTGCTAATAAGGACAGATTAGAGACTGGGTAATTTATAAAGGAAAGAGGTTTAACTGACTCACAGTTCCACATGGCTGGGGAGGCCTCAGAAAACTTACAATCATGGCAGAAGGTGAAGGGGAAGCAAGCACCTTTTTCACAAGGCAGCAGGAGACAGAAGAATGAAGAAGGAACTTCCAAACACTTATAAAACCATCAGATCTTGTGGGGTGGCCTCAAAATCATGAGGGAAGGCAAATGAGGAAAGTCACGTCTTACATGGTGGCAGGGGTGGCAGGCAAAGAGAGGGCTCGTGTAGGGGAACTCCCCTTTATGAAACCATAAGCTCTCATGAGACTTACTCACTATCATGAGAACAGCATGGGAAACATCCAACCCCATGATTTGGTTACCTCCCACCGGGTCCCTCCCATGACACATAGGAATTATGGGAGCTACAATTCAAGATGAGATTTGGTTGGGGACACAGCCAAACCATATCACAGCTTGACTTCTCACTGCTGATATTAAAATTGATCATTTGGTTAAGGAGAGGTCTGTCAGGTTTCTCCACCAAAACGTTAGTGTTATTTCATTTCCATATACTATTTTTTAGAATCCAGCCCACACTCCAGGGAGGTCACTTAAATTCCACCTCCTGGAGGGAGGGGGATCTACGTATATTTTTTGAAATTATTTGTAAGAAACACTTGTACCTTTTTCTTCATTTATTTGTACAATTATTTATATCAGTATGGACTCATGAAATTTTATTTTATATTGGGTTATAATTTTTAAATTTTAACTTATTTTGTTGCTTAAATTGTTTTAACTTTGGCCATTGAGTGTTCTTCCGGTCTGGCTACTGTGACCTTCTGATCTGCTTTTATTCTTTTGTTTTCTGAGCACTTCCGTATTTTCTGGCATTACATAATACTCCAGGCTCATCTTGTGTTTTCACTGCCCCAGGCCTAGAATTACTCATTTCTCCAAGGACGTCTCTGTTTTGTTTTGCTTTTGTTATTTTGGAGAATGGTATTTAGAAACCAAGATCTGGGTACTGGATGTACTTGTTGATACTTGTGTGCCATTTTTTCTAGTTTCTCAGCAAACAGCTATAAAATATAAGCAAATATACTAACCACTATGTACACACATCTGTAATTATTTCTTTAGCTATATATCTCTGTACATGTTAAACTACTGTACATTGTGCATTGTTTTTGTTTTATGCTCTTTGTTTTCTTATTGTTAAGTTCTAAGAATTAGATATGAGTCCCTTGTATAATATTCCACTTTGAAAAGTGAAAAAAGGAAGTGGCTGTTAAGTACAGAAACTCTTTTAATGAACAATCACGTGAAAAAATTTGAAGATGCCCAGTTGAACTTTAGGAGGTTCAATGTGTGTTTTACTCCGGGATTATTTAGAATATAGAAGTTTTTTTCTAATCCTCACCAATTTTAGAAAAGAGAGTACTCATATGAGTTTGCTAGTTGGAGTATTGTTAAAGAGAAATGTTGAAGCATTGGCTCTTGAATTTAGCATACATTCCGTGGAATTTTTCCAAGTTAGAAAGTTAAAAATATATCCAGATCAAATTTTGTCTTACTAACTTTAGATTATGAAATCTACTAAATATCTTTGCACTTTAACATAGATTCTTATAATCAACAAAGAAAATATTTGTGACATGTAAATAGATCTGTATGATTTTTGCTTCTCCTATATTTGGACATTGAAAATCGAATATTTTTATTTTCATATTGGAGTAATACTAAATAAAATAACAACATTTTTCTGGATGCTTAGCTGGTGCCAGACACTATACAAAATCACGTTATATAGATTATCTTGATTTACACATAATCCATTTCTTTGTTTTAATGAGAAACCTAAGAGAAATATATATCGTGTCTATTTTACAGGGGATGAACCAAAGGCAATAGAGGCATTGATCATGGCTCATTTACCAGGAAGAACCAAAATATACCTGCTAGAAATGGTAGAAAACATCGTTCACCTGCGCCTAACAGGGGAAATAAGAAACCTTTTATTCAAAAATGAATGCACATGTAAAGAAGGAATTATTATGTGATGAGAAACTGATATGGTTAAAGAATAGTGCAAGCTGAATTTGTCTAGAATTCAAATTTTTATAAAAAAGCTTTTTCCTAGGTATCTTTGTAAGCACTATAAGAGAAATAAAAATTTACCTGATATTATTCAAAGGAAAATCAAAGATTGCAACTGCACTAATTGCCAACTGCTTAAAAGAAAATGTCTTGACTTTCAAAGTCTAATGTACTTATTTTTATTACTTTGGAGCTTTCCTTTCTTCTTAGAAGTCATGTTTTCCTATGGCTATCTAAAATATCTCATATCATTACTTCATTAAAAAGTCATTTTGTTAATTTATATAGAATTATAAAAATATGGATAAATTTGCATATTAGTTTTATTTCACAGAATGGGCCATATGAATGAGTATTCCTTTCTAGGTATCTTGGTTTTTTTGCTCTGAATTTTTTAAAAGTCTTAATTCTTCTTTCTTTTCTTTCTTTTTTTTTTTTTTTTTAACAGGGTCTTACTCTGTCACCCAGGCTGGAGTGCAGTGGTGCAATCTGGGCTCACTGCAACCTCCACTTCCTAGGCTCAAGCAATTCTTCCACTTCAGCCTCCCAAGCAGCTAGGACTACAGGTGTATGCCATGATGCTTGGCTACTTTTTTAAAAAAAAATTGTAGTGACAATGTCTCACTGTGTTGTCCAGGCTGGACTGGAAGTCCTGTGCTCAAGTGATCCTCCCACCTTGGCCTCCCAAAGTGTTGGGATTACAGGCATGAGCCACTGCACCAAAGTCTTAATTCTTGAGACTCTGAAATTTCATCAGCATGTATCTTGGTACGGATCCTTTTTTTCATCCATTGAACTCAATACATTACTCCATGGACTTATTTCACTCTGAAAAATTGGCTATTTTTTCAGCTCTGAGATTTAAGAAATTAGTGTCTCTTGGATGATGTCTTCTTGGTTTCTTATATTCTTTGATTTTATGGGTTTTTTGAGTTGGACTTAATCACCAAATTTTTTAATTAACTATAATATCTTTCATTACGTTTCCTTTTGCTCAACATTTGGTAAAAAATTTTGGATTCCTTTACCCTTTGCCTTGATCCATTGCATTATTTAATATACTAATGATTTAAATTCCAGAAATACTATTATAATTTTTATTTATAATAAATAAATGTAATATGTTATTTCAGAATATTAATTTATATTACTTGCTTAAACTAAATTTTAAATACAGATAAATTTATCTTAGTTGAATGTTTTCCCAAGGATGTTTCACTTGGTCTGTGAAAGTTTAGTAGCTATTACTTGAAAAAAAGTCTGTTGTGAGGTGAAATAAGTTTAGGAAAATTAAAACTTAGGAAAAACTGTGTTTGACAAATACTAAACATATTTCTTAAATATATGATTACAAGTAGCATTAAATAACTCATGGGAACTGAGAAACTGTAAGCACCAGTTTCATGCTAATAATTTCTTAGACTTATTTACTAAATATAATTTAGGGAGCATATCAAGGCACAGAATAGTTTAAGGGATGCAAGAAATTCACTGTAGAATATATTGCATTGGGAATATATTTTTTACAACAGAATTTTGTTAAATTTAATGTGGTATGGTTCTAGAACTTTCTGATTTTTTGTGTTAAATAAATATAAGAATTACATTCAGAATACAAGAGAAAGAGAGTATTATTTGCTTACTGTCCCACTCCATTTCCTCCTTCAGAATTTCAAAATGAATTTTCTATATATTTGCATTAGTGATAATTTGGAAGCTTGGTTGTCTTTTTCCCAGGTGACTGGGATGATTTAAATGAAGGGAATTGAAGGACAATCACTCCTGAAAGCGTGGACTAAGTTTACTTCAGCTTTCCTCCTTACTACTACCAAGGAGAAGAGGACTCAATCAAGATCTGTCTGTATGGAGAATAACTGCTGACAGGGTCTAAAAATAAATAAATGTATAAAATTATGTTTTTATAAAATGTATTATAATCAAATCAACAGTGAGCTCTATTGGTTGTTGCTTGTTTTCTGTCCAAATTATATGAAAGCATTTGTTTTTACCAGGAACCCTTTTTCCCCAAAGAGACTGACAACTAATTCTCAGAAACATTTGAAATATTTTCAATGTAGTGGTTATTGGGTTTACAAATGTATATATTTTAATCGATTTAGCTCACAGGGCTAAGTGTTTGCAAGCCTCATTACATGTAAATATTTGGTGTATTTTTGTATAGTATTGAACTACAGTTTATTAGTTAATGGAGTCTCATGAACTTTACTATTTTTTTCCTTTTCTTACCAAAGACTAAATCAATAAGATTCTTGTTCTGAATAATAAATTTTGTAAAGTATTGGCAAGCTGACTTTACTTTAAAAAGTAAGTGAAAATAAATAAATAATTGAAAAGCTTGCTGCCATCTTCTGCCATCACCATGTTGTAGAACACAAATTTCACATTCACATTAAAAAGACATGTTGCTGATGTTGATCATTAACTAAGAAAATGAGCCATAGGGGAGACATTATGCAAAAAACAGTTATATGAGGCATATTAAACTTAAACTCTTCTGCTCCAAGTCTAGAAGACAAATATAATACATTTTCTCTTCTCTTTTGTGCTGTCACTTTTTTTTTCTTTTCTAGCTAGTCACTGGAATTTCATTTATATTATTTCTGGTGAAAGTGTTAGTCGGTAGTGCAGTTTCAAAATATGAATAGCTTTAAGAATCAATAAATCCCAAAATTAGCCTGAGAAAGAGGGACTAACCTTCAAAACGTAGCTTACAAAACCTTATAAAAGTAGCTTATATATTCATAAGGCTTTTAGACTTTTTAAATATTATTGTCCTGAATTGATATTTAATTTTAACAGTATTTGTCTTGTATCTCTAACAGCAACAAAAAAGAAACCTTAGATTTTGTCTACGTGTTTCCATTACAGAGTTTTTTCTCTTGGAGGCTCACTAGTAATAGTGTACTTCATAGTAGATTTTATTAGAGTTACTTTAGACCAGTGGATACAGATCCACTAAATGTATATACTGATAATCTGAATTAATAGATTGTGAAAAAATTGACAGTTCACAATGTTGAATTTTCTTTTAAAAAATGGAATGAAGAAAGATTGCAGATATGCAATGTATAGTACAATTGAATGATTTTTATTTTTATTTTATTTATTTATTTATTTATTTATTTATTTATTTATTTATTTATTTTGTGTGTGAGACAGAGATTCACTCTTGTTGCCCAGGCTAGAGTGCAATGGCATGATCTTGACTCACTGCAACCTCCACCTCCTGGGTTCAAGTGATTCTCCTGCCTTAGCCTCCCAAGTAACTGGGATTACAGGCATGCGCCACCACTCCTGGCTAATTTTTATATTTTTAGTAGAGATGGGGTTTCACCATGTTACCCAGGCTAATCTTGAGCTCCTGACCTCAGGTGATCCACCCGCCTCAGCCTCCCAAAATGCTGGGATTACAGGCTTGAGCCACTGCGCCCGGCCAATTGAATGATTTTTAGAAGATAGTTACTTCCCCCAGGCTACAGAAAGAAAATCTGGTAGCTAAGGTATAAGTCAAGAAGGATGCCAAGAATACACAATAGGGAAAGGATGGTCTGTTCAACAAGGAAGAGCAATCTGGATACCTGCATGCAGAAGAATTAAATTGAGCCCTTTTCTTAGACCATACACAAAAATTAGCTTAAAGTTGTTTAAAGGTTTCAGCGTAAGACCTGGAACTGTAAAACTCCTAGAAGAAATCATCGGTGAAGAGTATCACGGCCTTGGGCTTGGTAATGATTTTTTGGATATGATACCAAAAGCACAAGCAACAAAACCAAAAATAGACAAGTTGGACTACATCAAACTGAAATACTTCTGCATGCCAAAGTAAACAATCAACAGAGTGAAAAGGCAACTTACAGAATGGGAGAATATATTTGCAAATTGTATATCAGAGAAAGGATTAATATTCAAAATATAGAAGGAACTAAAACTCGGCCAGGCGCGGTGACTCACGTCTGTAATCCCAGCACTTTGGGAGACCAAGGCAGGCAGATCACGAGGTCAGGAGTTTGAGACCAGCCTGGCCAACATGGTGAAACCCCATCTCTAATAAAAATACAGAAATTAGCCGGGCATGGTGGCGCGTGCCTGTAGTCCCAGCTACTTGGGAGGCTAAGGAGATTCGCTTGAACCCGGGAGGCGGAGGTTGTGGTGAGCTGAGATCTCGCCACTGCACTCCAGCCTGGGAAACAGATCAAGACTCCGTCTCAAAAATAAAAAGAAAAAAAAAAAGAAGAAGGAACTCCTACAACTCAATGGGAACAAAAATAAAAAACTGATTTTAAAATGGGCAAAGGGCTTGAACACGTATTTCTCCAAACAAGACATACGTATGACCAATAGGTATATGAAAAGATGTTTAGCATCATTAACCATCAGGGAAATGCCAATGAAAAACACAAGGAGATGTTACCTTACACCTGTTACGATGGCTACCATTTATGAAAAGACAACAAACATAAGTGTTGATGAGGCTGTGAAAAAATTGGAAGGCTTATATACTATTTGCAGAAAGGTAAAATGGTGCAAAATATAGAAGGAACTCCTATATGGAAAATAGCATGGTAGTTCCTCAAAAAATTAAAAGTAGAATTAGCATATGATCCAGTAATTCCATTTCTGGGTAGATATCCAAACACATTTAAAACATAATCTTGAAGAGATATATGCACTTCCACGTTCATTGCAGCACTATTTGCAACAGCCACAATATGGTAACAACCAAAATATCTGTTAACAGATTAACGGACAAAGAAAATGTGATATGAATATACTATTAAATATTATTCAGGCTTAGAAAACAAGGAGATACTGTCGTCTGCTAAAACATGGATGAAACTGGAAGACATTGTGAAAACTGAAATAAGCCAGTCATAGAAAAACTAATACTGCATGACTTCACTTATATAAGGTATGAAAAATAGTCAAACACATAGAAACACAGTTGAATGGTGGTTTCCAGGAGGTGGGGGTAGGTGGAAATGGGGAATTACTCTTCCATTGATATAAAGATGCAAAAGTTGTAGAGATCTGCTGTATAACATTTTGCCTATAGTTGACAATACTGTATTGTGCAATTAAATTTTTGTCAGCAGGATAGATATCATGTTAAGTGCTCTTATCACAATAAAAAAATGTTTTAAAAGAATCACATGTAGCTGTCAACCACTCAAATGAGAAAAGATTTGAGATATTATGGGGTCAGAATTATTTTTAACAAATATTTAAGCAGTTTGCAAGCTAGAGACCACAAGGGACAACACCTACATTATAAATTTTGGGGCTAGTAAATAACTGTATTATTATTATTTTTTCTTCTGGGGCTTAGGCAGTTGTTATGCTACCTTCCCATATTTGCCCGTCTGTCCTCCTACCTAAAATAATGTTCACTCTGACCCTCACATATCAAACTTATAAATTATACAAGAATTAGGGCTCATTCTTTCAGTGTTTATCAAGAAAAGAAACATATCACTGCTGCCTTTGATGTACATATTATGTTCTCATAAGGAACTCTTCGACTTCCATGTATACATGGGGACTGGCTCCTGAAAGTCAATAGAAATGCAACCATTTTCATAATATTAAATGACCTAACTCTTTATCTTCGCTGGTTAAGAATCTGTTTTAGGATTGAAAGAAGTCAGGTTGCATAGTGTGTCTCTGGTGCTGTAGAATGGACATGTGTTTCTATATATATTTAGGTCACATTTATCCTGAACAAGGGTGATTTTAATTTCTATATTTCGATAGCATGCAAGAATTGGTAAGTATTTATAACTTGTGATATTAACAGCATATGGTTATTTTCCTCCTTACTCAACTCCACTGTCAGGAAGAATTTGAAAATGATAAAGTAATAATGGTCACTTTTTAGATTACAATAGCATACGACTGTGACTAAGTTTTTAATCGCTAGTCTACTGCCTGAAAATATGTTTTTGAGTGTTAGCAAGAAGCATATTTCCGATATTGTTTATCTTCTGATGTTCAATGAGGTACACTTTCTTCAGTTCCCATTGAGCTCAAAATTTATGTTACAAAGACTAATAGTTGACTTTTCTATGGTCCCTGGGGGCAATTTCATTTCTCAGTATTTTCTGTGTAGTCTAGTCTTATTTTACTTAAGATACAACTGAATGGACAAGTAAAAGATGTTTATTGGTAGCATATTCCAATTCAATTCAGTATTTCTTTCATCACATATATTGGGTCTAAACATTAGAATTAAAGAAATTAATCAAGTTTTGCCTAATGTTTTCTTAAGTTTCCTTTTTTCACATTGGAAATGAAAAGCAAAGAGATCTTTCACGTTTAACACAACTTCACTCATTCCCAAATGATGAAGAGAAAAGAGGCAAAATTAATTCACAACCAAGACATGTACAATCATTCATATCTCACTTAATATTCAAAACTTCGAGTGAAATGGGTATTTCTATTTTATGTTTAAAGTAAAGAAACAGAGATTCTATGTGGCAACTCACCTATAGCTGCAGGATAAGAACAAGGCAGTACTGGGATATGAACTCATTTTTGCCTAGCCCCAAAGGCCTTGCTCATTCATGCAGACTCTCAGAAATGAAAAATAATTCCCTTGATATTTGTTAAATCACACGTTCCTACAGTCAAATTCTCCAAAGCCTTTATTAAACCTATGTGATGTTGTAATACAGTTGATTATTACAGTATTTATGGAATATAGCATTCATAGCTTTAGGCTACACAGGCACAATGATATATTAAGCTCTCTTGAATTCCCTGTATTTCTAAAAACTATGGATTTGAAGTCAGGATGTTTTCAGAAGTCTAACTGGTGTTAAAAATCCAAATAGATCAAACATTGTTTCTGTTTATTTCTGTGTGACAACTAATACCAATGGGTGTGATTACAGTATGAAGAAACTCACATAATTTCTCTGAGGAAAGTTTATTTCCCTGGAAGTAGCCATTACCAATAAGCAATAGAAGCCCTAACCAGTGGCTTTTATTTTGCAATTATCCTTTTTCATCTTAATGTTAGTATATGTGCAGCCAAAGCAAGCACCACTTTTTCATCTTAAGCAACAGCTAAGATTATGTGTGATATAGATGAAGGCTATCACCAGATAAACACCATCAAAAAGTTACTTTTATAGTCTCTTTCTGCTGTGATTTTTTGTACCCTTCTTCCTTTCCTATTTCATCCTCCTCTTCCACAAATATATGTTGAGTATCAATTCTATGATGCCTGAGGCATTAGGCACTCCAGTAAGTAATCCTTTAAGTCTTACCAGAATTTGAGTTTGATGATATGGTGTCCATTGTGTAGATAAGGATATATCCTCCTTGAAGTGCAAGGTCACATAACCAAATGTGGAAAAGTAGGTCTGTCTCTTGTTGAAGAGAACTAAACATTGAATGCTGCTGCATGAAGTCCAAGGCTTCAGTGGACAACCTCAGAAACCAGTTAACTCTGAGCCATAAGGCATGGTATTGGCCCCTCAGAAGTCAGAATAAATAAGTATGGGGATTTCTCAGAATTTGAAGGCATTAATGACTCATTTCTCTAGGATATTGAAGTAAGTTCTTTAGTGGAAGACAACTGGAAAACGAGTGTCCTTGTCTACAGACATAAGATCTTAATAAAAGTAATCATGAAATTGACTTCGGTGGGGAGACACTGAAACAGGATCACATGGTCTGAATGATGTCCTAACAATAGAGAAGATTATGTATGAAGACACAAGACAGACACAGAGGTAAGAAAAGGAATATTGACTGGAGTCAGGAATGCAGGAGGAGCATGTGTGTGTATGTGTGTGTGTGTGCATGTGTGTGTGAGTGTTTATGTACCTAGATAAGATTAGCCTGCAGCTTTTCTGCTCTGTTTTTTTCCCCATCTTTGTGGTTTTATCTACTTTTGGCCTTTGATAATGGTGATGTACAGATGGGGTTTTGGTGTGGATGTCCTTTCTGCTTGTTAGGTTTCCTTCTAACAGTCAGGACCCTCAGCTGCAGGTCTGTTGGAGTTTGCTGGAGGTCCACTCCTGACCCTGTTTGCCTGGGTATCAGCAGTGGAGGCTGCAAAACAGCGAATATTGCTGAACAGCAAGTGTTGCTGCCTGATCGTTCCTCTGGAAATTTCATCTCATAGGGGTACCCAGCTGTGTGAGGTGTCAGTCTGCCCCTACTGGGGGGTGCCTCCCAGTTAGGTTACTTGGGGGTCAGGGACCCACTTGAGGAGGCAGTCTGTCCGTTCTCAGATCTCAAAGTCCATGCTGGGAGAACCACTACTCTCTTCAAAGCTGTCAGACAGGGACATTTAAGTCTGCAGAGGTTTCTGCTGCCTTTTGTTCGGCTATGCCCTGCCCCCAGAGTTGGAGTCTATAGAGGCAGGCAGGCCTCCTTGAGCTGTGGTGGGCTCCACCCAGTTCGAGCTTCCTGGCCTCTTTGTTTACCTCCTCAAGCCTCAGCAATGGCGGGCGCCCCTCCCCCAGCCTCGCTGCCACCTTGCAGTTAGATCTCAGACTGCTGTGCTAGCAGTGAGTGAGGCTCTGTGGGTGTGGGACCCTCCGAGCCAGGCACGGGATATAATCTCCTGGTGTGCCGTTTGCTAAGACTGTTGGAAAAGTGCAGTATTAGGGTGGGAGTGACCCGGTTTTCCAGGTGACATCTGTCACAGCTTCCCTTGGCTATGAAAGGGAATTCCCTGACCCCTTGCACTTCCCGGGTGAGGCGATGCCTCACCCTGCTTCGGCTCATGCTCAGTGGGCTGCACCCACTGTCATGCACCCACTGTCTGACAAGCCCCAGTGAGATGAACCCGGTACCTCAGTTGGAAATGCAGAAATCTCCCGTCTTCTGCGTCGCTCATGCTGGGAGCTGTAGACTGGAGCTGTTCCTATTCGGCCATCTTGGAACCCCTCCAGAGGTTCATAGGTTTTATGAATCTTATGAATGAGGCAGCTTTTCATTTTATTGATTTATCTCTGTTGTTTTTCTGTTTTCTATTTTAATTATCCTCCCATTTTGTTCTTTTCTTGGCATGCATTTTGCTTTATATGTGTTATAAAATCCACAGTACTTTTTCAAAAATTACTTTTGCTTAAATAATACAACACTATTTATTTTACATTTTCTGTTTATTTTAATTTGTAAAAAATCTTACATTTTTACTCATGGAGTTATCAATTTGACTACTCTTCATTTCTTTTTGTAGACCCTTATTTCCTACTGCTGTAATTTTCTTTCTGTTTGAGGCAAATTACTCAACATATTTTTTATATTCCATTTCTGCTGGTGATGAATTTGTTCACTTTGCATGGCTGAAAAGTCCTTATTTTGTCTTGTTTTAAAAATATGCTTTTTTGTTGTTTGTAGACTTCTAGTTTGATTTTTTTAAATTTATATTTTACATAGACTGCTCCACTCTTTTCTCAGTTGCATTTTTCAGCCAAGAAGTCTGATTTTGCCCTAATTTTGGTTTCTTTGTGTGTCATGCCATTTTTCTCCGGTTGCTTTTTTTTTTTTTTTGAGACTGAGTCTCACTCTGTTGCCCAGGCTGGAGTGCAGTGGCTCAATCTCAGCTTACTGCAAGCTCCACCTCCCAGGTTCATGCCATTCTCCTGCCTCAGCCTCCCGAGTAGCTGGGACTACAGACACCCACCACCACGCCCAGCTAATTTTTTGTATTTTTAGTAGAGACGGGTTTCATCATGTTAGCCAGGATGGTCTCCATCTCCTGACCTCGTGATTCACCTGCCTCGGCCTCCCAAAGTGCTGGGATTACAGGCGTGAGCCACCGTGGCCGGCCCTGGTTGCTTTTAATATTATCTGTTTATCATTATTTTTAAGCAATATAATTATGTGGTTTGGTGTCTTTTTTATGTTTCTTATGGTGTGGATTTGTACAAATTCTTGGATTTGTTGGTTTCCATCAAATTTGGGAAAAATTGTCATTGTCTCTTCAAATATGTTTTCTGTTCTCCCTTCATCTCTTCTTCAGAGAATTCAATTACACATATATTTGAATTGCTTGAAGTTTTCTCACACCTAAATGATACTATGATCTTTTTAAATTTTCTCTTTTCTTTGCATTTTATTTTAGATGACTTATCTTGCCAAGTCTTCAAGTACACTAATCTTTTCTTTTGCAATGTCTTACATGTCATGAATGCCCAATTTTTTTTAATCTTACACTTTCTTCACTTTTAGAAGTTTGATTTAAGAATTCTTTATATCTTCTGATTCACTACTTAATTTTTGAACACTTTGAGTAGAGTTATGACAATTATTTTAATGTCTTTTAGATAATTCTAATATCTTGTTAATTTTGGACGTCTTTTGATTATCTCATCTCTTCATTATAGGAAGATTAATGCCTCTTTACATCCCTGGCAATTTATTATCAGATACCAAACACTGTAAATTTTACCTTATTGGCTGATGGATAATGTACTTTTATGAATGTTTTTGACTTTTGTTCTACAATGCTGTTAAGTTGCTTGGAGATAGTTTGTTACTTTTGGGGTTTTTAAAAATACTTTGTAAGACAGAAATAGAGCAGTGCTCAATCTATGGCTAAATATTCCCCACTACTGTGGCAATACCCTTCCGCATACGTTTTCCAATTCCCTTTGAATCTTGAGGTTCTCTAGACTGGCCAACAGGAAAAGTCACTGTTCTTGACTCTGTGTGAGTGTCAGAGACCACTATCTATAATTCTTGTAAACAGTTTCTGCCCTGGCCTTAGGTCATTTACTCACATACATGAGTTGATCAGTAATCTGCTGAAGCATTAACTTGAGAGTAGGACTTTGCAACTTTCTGAAGTTCTTTCTCTGTACATTATTCTCCTCTCTGGTACTCTGACTTGAAAATTCTACTTACCTTTTTCTCTGGAGTGTCTTAGCTCCATCTTCTGAACTTAGTGACACTGCTAGTCTCTGCCTGTTTTTCTCCTTCCATGAGCAATGGCCCAGAAACTCAATAAATAATCTGGGGCAACTACAGGGCCCATTTCATTTGTTTCCCATCTCTCAGGGATCAGTCTCTGCTGTTTGATGTCCAGCTTGATGTTAGCCTTGCAAACTATTGTTTTATTTCTCCCCTGACTTTTTAGCTGTTTCATCAGAAAGTAAATTTGGTCTCTTCTACACTATCTTGACCACAAGAGGAAATATAATTTACTTATTCTTGCTTTCGTGTCTACCAATTTATGAAGTTGTATTCCCAAAGAACACCAAAGACTTAACCATCAAATACTTTATCACATTCTTAATGAACTTCATTTGAAAGTGTGAATTACAACCGCCCTAGTGAAACAGAGTCCTCCCTTAGAATTCATATTTTACTGTTTTTCTTTTTCTCCTAATGCTCGTGATATTCATCTACTTTAAAACATACAAAAAGTGAACATGAAACTACTTAGCATGCAATGTTAGGTATTTTATAATTTTGAACGAGAATAGCTTTTCTTTTGCCGTCACCAAAAGTTCTCTCATACACAAATTGCAGATTCCATATAATACCTCAACCATGGCCACAACCTGTGTCTTATTTTACCACACATTTGGTTACTTAAAGTGTTCCAGGCTGGTCTTGAAATTCTGGGCTCAAGCAATCTTCCATCCTCAACCTCCCAAAATGCTCAGATTACAGGGATGAGCCATCACGACGGGCCTAAATTTCATCTTTGAAGTACATAGAATTAAGTGTTGAGTAGGGCGGGTTAAGATTGCAAATCAGTGAAATAAAATTAATCAATACATCTAGGATAATCTAAGATTGGTATCAGAAGCTAAAATATGAAGCAAGGGAATAAAAATCCAGGTAGTCAGGAAAATGGGAACTTGCTCTAAATCTAAAGATCATTGCTTGTAAGTATTTTTCTTTTTTGTTAAATTGTTATTATTAGTCCCTTCAGTATGAGGCATAGGCTGAACATCTCCACTTAAGGCCAAGGAGAAAGTGGTATTTTCAGTTAAAGAAACGAAGACAACTAGTAAATTGCCTAAAGTTAATGGCCAGTTATAGGAAAAAAATGGATATTCAAATACCTTTGAACGTTCACTATTGTCCCTGTGTCATATGGCATATATTATTCCCATATTAGGAAAGATATAGATGCAACAGAAATTTCGCATCTCCATTATTGTAATTAGCAAGTGAAATACAATGAATAAGAATTATGTGCTCCAAGTAATGCTTCCAAAACTCACTTCACTCTATAATGAAAGATATTGCATTACTGTATAAAAATAATCTTCGCTCATTTTATGCTGGCCATAGAGGTCAATATTAGGAGACATGAATATTGGAAAGAAACCTGCTGAGGTTATGTAATATCTCCCAAAGTCATATCTCTGAAAAGTGATTATCAGCATAGAATGTGTATCTCTTTGCTCAGCTGCCCCATTCTTTGCTTCTTAAAGTAATAAAAAGTATGCTAATGCTGTTTCTTAAAGGTCATCATTACCATAACTTTATTCTTCTATACTAATGTACAATAAAAACATTTTTTATAATTTATAATCTAGCAATCATTTTTAATATCAGATTTTTCTGCTACAGTTTATACTATCAGTTAACTTACTCTTTCAGTTTTTATTTTGATGTTATTTTCTTTATTAACATGACATTGTTTATTATTTATCTTTATTTTTGGCTTCTATGTATCACTGCTCCCTCTTTTGACATCTGTCAGGTATTTGTATATAAGTGTGTTTCAGCTTAATTTTCTGCTTTTCTAAGCTTTCCATATTTAGGCTCTCCTGTTTAGTATTTCTTCATTAATAAGCATTCTTAATTTCTGTTAATCTTCTCTGAACTTCAATTTCATCTAATTTTTCCCTTAATTGTCACTATGGAAACGTGAAGAATTTGTTCTTGCTGAAATATCCAGAAAGCTCATATTTTAGTACTTGAATAATCAAATGAATAGAACATGACTGTGAAATTTTAGATGTCTGTCTGTATTTGCAAATGGAAACACAAACAAGATGCTCTATTTTATAAAGTGCAACTTTCCAAGAGGAAAGAACTGCCACTGTAACATTGCAAGTGTAATGCAATAAACAGACCAAAATATGATAATTTCTAGAAATTAAAAAGTTAAAAGCTGAAGTTGTTTTCAGCTATCTTTTGAAACATAAATTATTTCTTGTAGTAATACAATATATTGTATAAGAAAAAATACCAAAGTACAAACTCATTGGTGATTTCTCAATTGAGAAACATCTTTTATCTAGTCACAAGTATGCTTTACATCTGATATACGACTTTGCTTACATTTGTCTAGATCCTATTTTCAATGTGTCCCATCAGAAGAAATATATTAATCTTCTAATGGCCCCTCTTTCTTCTAGCTTATTCCCTCCATTCTCACTGATGTGGGATATCCTTCTTGTTTATAATAAAAGCTTTATTTTGATATAAGTCACATACCATGCAATTAATCCATCGAAAGTGAATAATTCAGTGGCTTTTTGTATATTCACACAGTTGTACAACCATCACCACAATCAATTTCAAAACATTGTCATCAACCCCCCAAAAACACCATGCCTATTAGGCATTCCCTAGTTTTCCTCCCCGCAACTCCCTGTGGTATTGACAACCACAAATTTACCATGTGTATATAGATTTGTCTATTTTGGACAAACTTATTTTGGATTGTATAAATCGAATCATAGAATATGTGGTCTTTTGTGACTGGTTTCTTTCATTTATCATAATGTTTTTAAGGATTATCCATGTTGTAGCATGTGTTAGTATTTCATTTCTTTTTATTGCCAAGCAATATTCCTTTGTATAGCTATGCCATATTTTATTTATCCATTTATCAGTTGATAGACATTTGGGTTGTTTTCAATTTTTCCTACTGTGAATATTGCTGCTATGAACATTTTTGTATAATTTTTGTTTGACATACATTTTTATTTTTCTTGGGCATTTGCTTAGGAGCAAAATTGCTGGGTCATAGCCTAACTTCATATTTAACTTTTAGAGGAACTGCGAGATTGTTTTTCAAAGCAGTGACACCATTTTACATGCCCAATGGCAGTGTAGGAGGGTTCTAATTCTCCACATCCTCACCAACATTTGTTATTATGTGTCTTTTTTATAATAGTCATACTATGTGAAGTTGTATCTCATAGTGGTTTTAATTTGCATTTCCCTGATGGTTAATGATATCAAACGTTGTTCATGTGTTTATTTGCAATTTGTATGTCTTCTTTGGAGAAATGTTTACTCCGATCTTTTGCCCATTTAAAGATTGGGCTATTTATGTATACATGTGCCATATGTAACAAACCTGCACCCTAAAACTTAAAGTATAATAATAATAAAAAAGAAGATTGGGCTATTTATCTACACATTATTGATTTGTTAGATTTCTTCATATATTCTAGATACAATCCCCTTAACAGATACATAATTGACAACTATTTTCTTCCATTCTGTGGGTTGTCTTTTAACTTTTTGTGATGGTGTCCTTTGAAACACAAACTTTCAAAAATATTTTTCAATGAAGTCAATTTATCTATTTTGTCTTTTGTTGCTCGTCCTTTGCTTTTGGTGTTATATTCAAGAAACCGTTCCCTATTTTGAGATCACAAAAGTTTAAAACTTTAGCTCTTATACTTCCATTTTGACTTAATTTTTGCATATGGTATGAGGTATACATCTATCTTCTTTCTAATGCATGTGGATATTCAGTTGTCTCAGCTCCATTTGCTGAAGAATATTGTTTCCCCATTGAATTATCTTGGCATATCTACTGATCAACTAAGCATAAATGTGAAGGTAGATTTCTGAACTCTATGTTATATTCCATTGATATATATGCCCAGCTTTATGCCAGTACCATATTCCTTTGATTACTGTAGCTTTGTTTTAAGCTTTGAAGTATAGAAGTGTCAGCTTCACCTTTGGTCTTTTTAAAGATTGTTTTGGCTATTCTGCATGCCTTCAATGTCTATATTAATTTTAGGACAAATTTGTCAGTTTCTGCAGAGAAGCTAGCTGGGATTTTAATAGGGATTACACTTACTAGGCAGGTAAATTTGGGAAGTATTGCCATCTTAACAATATGAAGTCTTCTTTTCCATGATTATGAGATGTTTTTTCATTTATTTAGGATTTTTGTGTCTTTCAGCAATGTAATGTTGTTTTCAGAGTTTAAGTTTTATACTTCTTTGTTAAATTCATTTCTATGTATCTTATTCTTTTGTATGCCATTGCAAGTAAAATTATGCCCTGATTTTAATTTTAGGATGACTCATTACTACTATATAGTAGTAGAATAGATATTTCTAGTATATAGAAATGCAATTGGTATTTCTGTACTGATTTTGTATCCTGCAACCTTAGTGAATTTATTTGTTCTATTTGCATTTTTAGTGGATTCTGTAGGATTTTTACTATGCAAGATTATATTATCCATGTATAGAGACAGTTTTATTTCTTCTTTACCAACTTGGATGCCTTTTATTTTATTTTCTTTGCTAAGTGACTTCACTAGGACCTCCAGTAAAATGTTGAATAGAAGTGGTAGGAATTGCCATATTTATCTTTCTTTTGATCTTTTAGGGAAATCATTCAGTTTTTCATTATTAAATATGAGGATATCTGTGAAAGTTTCATAGATACTTTGTCAGGTTGAATGCACTTTCTTCTATTCCTGATTTGTTGAGTGTTTTTGTCATGAAGCAATGTAGAATATTTTCAAAAAATTTTCCTGCATTTTTTGAGATGATTGCATTTTTTGTCCTCTATATTTTGATAATACCAAATATCAAATGTTTTACATTATTGTGTCTTGGACATTAAATTAACTTTGAATTCTGGAGATAAATTGTACATGGTCACTACGTATACTCTGTTTTATATATTGCATGATGTGGTTTGCTAGTGTTTTATTGAGGACATTTTTTGACAATACTTTGAATTGTAAACTGCACCTTTCTAGGAATCCTTTTCAAGGCTAGACTTTGAGCTTTGTTCTCACTACACAGGGTGTTTCTTTCTCTGCTTCTCTGGTAAACTACCTGGCTTGTGGTTTAGCTTGACAGTCTCATTGAGCTACTAACTTCTCTGCTCACCACCAAAATCTCCATTGTTGTTGATAGCAACTTTAGGCTTGAGCTTTCTCAGTCTCTGTTTCAATAAAGTCTTTTCCTTTGGAGAGGGATTTGGAGGTCTCTTTTCTTACTGACTGCCTCTTCTCACTTGGCAAACTCTCTGAGCGCCTGCTCTGCAGCAGATAACTAGCATGATAGCCCTGCAGAACACTGGGTGGCATAGTAGCCTCTGGTCTTTCTAACTTGCTTCTCCTAGTGTGGAAATTCCAGCCAATGAGCAGCTGGGACAAGGGCCACTAGGTCCCCAGTATTCTTAGCCTGTTGTGCCTGGGGTAGAGCTTCTGCCCTATGAGTAAGGGGGTTAAATGTTTGTTTTAAATAATTTTGACCAATTATGATTTTTTTGCTGAGGTACAGGTTCGCTTTTCACATTAACGGTTCATAGAAGCTAGCATGAAAATAATCTTCAAATTAATTCTGACCATGTCACTCCCTTTGTTTAATAAAATTTTTTACTTATTTCTGTATATACTATTAATTACCATTTTCTACAGATGGCAATATGCCATCTCCCTTCCAACACCCGTTTTCAATTTTCTTCCACGATAATACTGGCGGAGGGAATATTTCACTGTGTCCTAAAATCGTTTTACTATTTATGCCTTGAAAATGAATCTTTCTACATTGCTCTTTCCTCCACCTCCATCTTTGAAAGAGATGTCATTCATTGAAGGACTCCTAAAATGCCACTTTCCCCTAGATGAACCATTTTGCAGCATTAGGAGACAAAGCAAGTATTTCCATCATCTGCCTATCTATTGCAACTTGAAATTCTTCCATGGCCCTTATCCCATTAAACTGCATTAAGGTCATTGGGTATATATTTTCTCATATACCATTCCATGAGCTCATTGTAGGCAAGATTTCTTACTTTTTTATTGGTATGTTTTTACAATACTTAGCACAGACTCTGGCATATAATAGGATCTAAAATTTTTATTGAATCCAACTGAATAAGTATTCTGTCTCAAAGTATTATGCAGCTTTTGTATCCTGTATAGAATCCTAAAACATAAAGCATTCAAAATTGATCATAGCGTATTTAAATTTTCTCTCCATTAATTTTTCTACTGGGTCACTAAAACTCTATATTTCATATTCTAATTAGAGGATCAAACAACACTAACAAAGTTGGATGTATAGTCTTCACTACGACTACAGCAACACCATGGGTTGCAGTCTAGATTACATTGATTTACTACTAAGTAAATGGAGATTTGTAGATGAGTCAACAGTGTACAAACTGTTCACTACTCATATTAGGCCACAATATTGCTTCTGTTTGCAATGAATTCACTGAGCTGAGAAGAAAATTATTTTCCTCTTAGGAGCTTTAATAGATCCTATTTACTTTTATTTAGGTTAAGGTTAATACCTATCATGAAAAAAAAGTTCAAGGAATTAGTGGCATTAAACACTGATTTGCATTACTTTGATAATTTAAGAGTATGAAATATGGTTTAAGAAATGTTATGAGCATTCATAGCTATCAAGAGAATTTGCCAGATCTACTTGAAAATGTGAAATTAAAAACAGATGAGATTTGGACCTGATGGTAAACAGCTCTTAGATTTGTCATGTGATAGCATAGGATTCTTTTTTTTCAATACAAAAGATAATGGACAATTTGAGTATCATTTTTCAGCAATATATATAGAATTGTTCTATGATCTGTGTATTTTGTTTCTGTGGTTAGGCTTGTTCAACTCAAATCTACATGATGTTTTCCGATGAATTTATAAAAACTGTTGTTTCATATTGTTTGGTTTGGTTAGATTTTTCTCTCTATTAGGATATATTTACAAAGCATTATGACAGGAAATATAAACACACAAACACCACACACACAGATAAGAGAAAAGAAAATAGGTAAAACCTATAGGATATTTCTAATATTTTTCTAAAGTAATTTCTCCATGTCAACCTGAATTAGTGTTTGAACAAATTCATCAAAATCATAGAGTACTTCTTTATGGAATCATACATTTATTTTGATGTTAATGTCTTAAACAACAAAAACTTCACACCTACTGATACATTACCAGTACTGCATTTCTAAAACTGATACTTTTTCTTAGTTATTTTAAATTGAGCTTTAAAATGATTTAAATGTATTTCTATAAATCAAATTAGATGAAATTGTTAATAACACATACTACATATATAATCCATAAAAAATAGTTTATTTTCTAAAAGAATTTCTAGTAAAATGTGTTTAGCACCACTGGCACAGTACTAGAGAAGTTATGATGTTTATTTTTGCATTTTTATGTTTGTATGTACTTACGTATTTGTTACAAGAGAACTAGAAATGATGAAACACCGGTGGAGATGTCTCCCTTTGAACTGATAGCATCTAATATCAGTGAAATGTGGTTTTGTGCTCTGCCACCCCCTAATATCCTAGATTACTTGACTGGTTTGCCTGATTAGATGGTGCTTTTTAAAAAATTGTATTTACTGCTGCACTTGTATTCTTCCTGAAGCTGACATTTTTGAAAGGACAAATTTCACACTGGTTCAAATATTCATTCATTCAATTGAGATAAAATTATAATCAAACATAAGTTAATAAACAAACACATAGACCAATGGAACAGAAGAGAGAACCCAGAAACAAATCCATACATGTACAGTGAACTCATTTTTGACAAAAAGTGCCAGGAACATACACTGGAGAAAGTGCAGTCTTTTCAATAAATGAAGCTGGGAAAATTGAATATGAACATGCAGAAGAAGGAAACTTGACCCCTATCTTTTTCCCTATACAAAAATCAAATCCAAATTAATTAAAAACTTAAACCTACAACCTCAAACTATGAAACTGCTACAAGAAAACATTAGAGAAAATTTCCAGGACATTTGTCTGGGCAAAGATATCTTGAGCAAAACACCACAACCACAGCAACCAAAGCAAACATGAACAAGTGGGATCACATCAAGTTGAAAATCTTCTGTGCAGCAAAGGAAACAATCAGCAAAGTCAAGAGACAACCCACAGAGTGGGATAAAACATTTGCAAAGTATGCATCTGACAAGGGATTAATAACAAGGATATTTAAAATGTTCACTCTATAAGAATAAATCTAATAAAGTGACTAAAAATAAGCAAAAGATTTGAATAGATATTTCTCAAAAGAAGACACACAAATGGCAAAGAGGTACACTAAAAGGTGCTCAACATCACTTATCATTAGAGAAATGCAAATCAAAGCTACAATGACATATCATCTCACCCCAGTTAAAATGGCTTATATCCAAAAGACAGGCAATAACAAATTCTGGAGAGGATGTGGAGAAAAGAGAACCCTTCTACGATGTTGGTGGGAAGGTAAGTTAGTACAACTACTATGGAGAACAATTTGGAGGTTCCTCAAAAGACTAAAAATAAAGCTACCATACAATCCGTCAATCCCACTGCTAGGTATATAGCTAAAAGCCAAAAAAAGGGAAATCAGTTTATTGAGGAGATATCTGCACTCCCATATTTATTGGAGCACTTATTAACAATAGCCAAGATTTGGAAGCAATTTAAGCATTCATCAACAGATGAATGAATAAAGAAAATGTGGCACATATACAGAATGGAGTACTATCCAGCCACAAAAAGAATGAGATTCTGTCATTTGCAACAACATGGATGCAACTGGAGATCATTATGTTAAGTGAAATAAGGCAAGCACAAAAAGACAAACTTCACATGTTCTCACTCATTTGTGGGATCTAAATGTTAAAACAATTGAATTCATGGAGGTAGAGAGAAAGATGGTTACCAGAGGCTGGGAAGGGTAGTGGAAGTTGATGGGGATGTGAGAATGTTTAATGAGTACAAAAAATAGTTAGAAAGAATGAACAAGATCTAGTATTTTATAACAAAACAGGGTGACTGTAGTCAATAATAATTTAATTGTACATTTTAAAATAACTAAAATAGTATAATTGGATTGTTTGTTTGTAACATAAAGGATAAATTCTTGAGGTGATGGATACCTCATTTACCCTGATGTGATCAGTACACATTGTATGCCTGTATGAAAATATCCTGTATACTCCCAAATATATAAACTTACTATGTATCCACAAAAATTAAATATCAAAAAAAACAAAAGAGGAGTTATTGTTAACTTCTATTTTAAATTCAGGGGTACAAGTGCAAGTTTGTTACATAGGTAAACTTGAGTCATGGAAGTTTTTTGTGCAGATTATTTCATCACCCACATATTAAGCCTAGTATCCATTAGTTGTATTTCATGATCCTCTTCCTCCTACTACCCTCCACCCTCCAAAATGTCACAGTGTGTGTTGTCTCCTTTATGTGCCCATGTGTTCTCATCAATTAGCTCCCACTTATAAGTGAGAACACACAGTATTTCATTTTCTGTTCCTATGTTAGTTTGCTAAGGCTAATGGCCTCCAGCTCCATCCATGTCAGTGCAAAGGACATGATTTCATTCTTTTTTATGGTTGCATAGTATTCCATGGTGTATATGTACCACATTTTCACTATACAGTCTATCACTGGTGGATATTTAAGTCGATTCCTTGTCTTTGTTATTGTAAATAGTGCTGCAATCAATATACTGTGTCTTTACAATAGAACCTTTTATATTCCTTTGGGTAGATACCCAGTGATGGGATTGCTGGGTCAAATGGTACTTCTGTCTTTAGGTATTTGAGGAATTGCCACACTGTCTTCCACAATGGCTGAACTAATTTACACTCCCATCAACAGTGTATATATGTTCCTTTTTCTCCACGACCTTGCCAACATGTGTTATTTTTTGACTTTTTCATAGTAGCTGTTCTGACTAGTGTTAGATGGTATCTCACTGTGGTTTTGATTATAATTTCACTAATGATCTGTGATGTTGAGCTTTTTTTCACGATTGTTGGCCACTGGTATGTCTTCTTATGAAAAGTGTCTGTACATGCCCTTTGCCCACTTTTTCATAGGGTTGGTTTTTTCTTATAAATTTGTTTAAGTTCCTTATAGATGCTGGCTATCAGACCTTTGTCAGTTACATAGTTTGCAAAAATTTTTCTCCCATTCTGTAGGCTGTCTGTTTACTCTGTTGACAGTTTCTTTTGCTGTGCAGGAGCTCTTTAGTTTAATTAGATCCCATTTGTCAGTTTTTGCTTTTGTTGCCATTGCTTTTGGCATCTTTGTCATGAAATCTTTGCTTGTGTCTATGTCCTGAATGGTATTGCCTTCTGGGGTTTTTATAGTTTTGGGTTTTACATTTAAGCATTTAATCCATCTTTAAAATTTTTTAAAAAATTTATTTTTTATCTTTCCATAGGTTATTGGGGTACAGGTGGTGTTTGGTTACATGAGTAAGTTCTTTAGCAGTGATATGTGAGATTTTGGTGCAGCCATCACCCGAGCAGTATACACTGCATCCTATTTGTAGTCTTCTATCCCTCGCCCCCCTCCCACCCTTTCCTCTAAATCCCCAAAGTCCATTTTATTATTCTTATGCCTTTGTGTCCTCATAGCTTAGCTCCCATATATCAGTGAGAACATATGATGTTTGGTTTTTCCATTCCTGAATTACTTCCTTTAGAATGATAGTCTCCAATTTCATCCAGGTCACTGCAAATGCCTTTAATTGATTCCTTTTTATGGCTGAGCAGTATTCCATTATATATGTATCATATCATATATATGTTACACATACAATATATGATATATATGGCATATTAATATATGATATATATCACATATATGAGATATATATGAGATATGTATATGTGATATATATGATAATTATGATAGATATATGAGATATATATAGAATATATATATATATACACACACACACAGGCTTTATCCACTCATTGATTGATGGGCAATTGGATTGGTTCCATGATTTTGCAATTGCAAATTGTGCTGCTATAGACCTGCGTGTGCAAGTATCTTTTTCGTATAATGACTTTTTTTTCTCTGGGTAGATACCCAGTAATGGGATTGCTGGATCAAATGGTAGTTCTATTTTTAGTTCTTTAAGGAATCTCCACACTGCTTTCCATAGTGGTTATACTAGTTTACATTCTCACCAGCAGTGTAGAAGTGTTCCCTGATCACCACATCCATGCCAACATCTACTGTTTTTTGATTTTTTGATTACGGACATTCTGACAAGAGTAAGGTGATATTGCATTGTGTTTTTGATTTTGCATTTCCCTGATCATTAGTGATTTTGAGCATTTTTTTCGTATGTTTGTTGGTCATTTATGTATCTTCTTTTGATAATTGTTTATTCATATCCTTAGCACACTTTTTGAATGGTATTATTTGCTTTTTTTCTTGCTGATTTGTTTGAGTTTATTGATGCTGGATATTAGTCCTTTGTGAGATGTATAGATTTTAAAGACTTTCTCCCACTCTGTGGGTTGTCTGTTTACTCTGCTGACTGTTCCTTTTGCCATGAAAAAGCTCTTTAGTTTAATTAGGTCCCAGCTATTTATGTTTGTTTTTATTGCATTTGCTTTTGGGTTCTTGGTCATGAAATTCTTGCCTTAAGCCAGTGTTTAGAAGGGGTTTTCCAATGTTATGCTCTAGAATTTGTATAGTTTCAGGTCTTAGATTTAAGTCCTTAATCCATCTTGAGTTAATTTTTGTATAAGGTGAGAGATGAGCATCCAGTTTCATTCTCCTACATGTGGCTAGCCAATTATTCCAGCACCATTTGTCCTTTCCCCACTTTATGTTTTTGTTTGCTTTGTTGAAGAACAGTTGGCTGTAAGTATCTGGCTTTATTTTTTGGGTTGTCTTTTCTGTTCCATTGGTCTATGTGTCTATTTTTATACCAGTACCATGATGTTTTGGTGACTATGGTCTTACAGTATAGCTTGAAATCAGGTAGTGTGATTCCTCCAGACTTGTTTGTTTTGCTTAGTCTTTCTTTGGCTATGTGGGCTCTTTTCTGGTTCCATATAAATTTTAGGAATGTTTTCTCTAGTTCTGTGAAGAATAATGATGGTATTTGGTGGGAATTGCATTGAATTTATAGATTGCTTTTGGCAGTATGATCATTTTCACAATATTGATTCAACCCATCAACAAGCATGTGATTTATTTCCATTTGATTGTGTTGTCTATGATTTCTTTCAGCAGTGTTTTGTAGTTTTCCTTTTTGATATGGTTTTGCTTTGTGTCCCCATCCAAATCTCATCTTGAATTATACTCCCATAATTCCCACGTGTTGTAGGAGGGACCCAGTGGCAGATACTTTGAATCATGGGGGCAGTTTCCCCCATACTATTCTAGTGGTACTGAATAAGTCTCATGAGATCTGACGGTTTTATCAGGGGTTTCTGCTTTTGCATCTTCCTCATTTTCTCTTGCCGCCACCATGTAAGAATTGCCTTTTGCCTCCGACCATGATTCTGAGGCCTCCCCAGCCATGTGGTGTTGTAAATCCAATTAAACCTCTTTTTCTTCTCACTCTCTGGTATGTCTTTGTCAGCAGCATGAAAACAGACTAATACAGTAAATTGGTACCAGTAGAGTGGGGTGTTGCTGAAAAGATACCCCAAAATGTGGAAGAGACTTTGGAACTGGGTAATAGGCAGAGGTTGAAACAGTTTGGAGGGCTTAGAAGAAGACAGGAAAATGTGGGAAAGTTTGGAACTTGCTAGAAACTTGTTGAATGGCTTTGACAAAAATGCTGATACTGATGTGAACAATAAGGTCCAGCCTGAAGTGGTCTCAGATGGAGATGAGGAACTTGTTGGGAACTGGAACAAAGGCGACTCTTGTTATGCTTTAGCAAAGAGATTGGCAGCATTTTGCCCCGGCCCTAGAGATTTGTAGAACTTTGAACTTGAGAGAGATGATTTAGGGTATCTGGTGGAAGAAATTTCTAGGCAGCAAAGCATTCAAGATGTGACTTGGGTGCTGTTAAAAGCATTCAGTTTTCAAAGGGAAACACAGCATAAAAGTTTGGAAAATTTGCAGCCTGAGAATGCAATAGAAAAGAAAACGCCATTTTTTGAGGAGAAATTCAAGCTGGCTGCAGAAATTTGCATAAGTAATGAGGAGCCAAATATTAATCCCCCAGACAATGGGCATGTCAGAGGTCTTCATGGAAGCCCCCTCCCATCACAAGCCAGGAGGCCTAGGAGAAAATGGTTTCATGGGCCAGGTCCAGCTTCCCTGTGCTGTGTGCAGTCTAGGGACTTGGTACCCTCGGTCCCAGCTGCTCCAGCCATGGCTTAAAGGGGCTGACATAGAGCTCAGGCCATGGCTTCAGAGGGTGCAAGTCCCAAACCTTGGCAGCTTCCATGTGGTGTTGAGCTTGCGAGTGCACAGAAGTCAACAATTGAGGTTTGGGAACCTCCGCCTAGATTTCAGAAGATGTATGGAAACATCTGGATGCCCAGGCAGAAGTTTGCTGCAGTGGCGGGGTCCTCATGGAGAACCTCTGCTAGGGCAGTGCAGATGGGAAATGTGTGGTCAGAGCCCCCACAAAGAGTCCCTACTGGCCACCACCTAGTGGAGCTGTGAGAAGAGGGTCACTGTCCCCCACACCCCAGAATGGTAGATCCACTGACAGCTTTCACCATGTGCCTGGAAAAGCCACAGACACTCAACGCCAACCCATAAAAGCAGCCAGGAGGGGGGCTATACCCTGCAAAGCTACAAGGGAGCTTCACAAGGCTGTGGGAGCCTATCTCTTGCATCAGCATGACCCAGATGCGAGACATGGCATCAGAGATCATTTTGGGGCTTTAAGATTTGACTGCCCCGCTGGATCTCAGACTTGCATGAGGCTGGTAGCCCCTTTGTTTTGGCCAATTTCCCCCATTTGGAATGGCTGTATTTACCCAATGTCTGTACCCCCATTGTATCTAAGAAGTAACTAACTTGCTTTTGATTTTACAGGCTCATAGGTGGAAGGGACTTGCCTTGTCTCAGATAAGACTTTGGACTGTGGACTTTTGAGTTAATGCTGAAATGAGTTGACTTTGGGGGACTGTTGGGAAGGTATGATTGGTTTTGAAATGTAAGGACATGAGATTTGGAGGGGCCAGAGGCAGAATGATATGGTTTGGCTCTGTGTCCCCACCCAAATCTCATCTTGAATTGTACTCCCATAATTCCCACATGTTGTGGGAGGGACCTGGTGGGAGATCATTTGAATCACGGGGGCAGTTTCCCCCATACTGTTCTCATGGTAGGGGTAAACCTATTTTTCTTCCCAGTCTCTGGTATGTCTTCATCAGCAGTGTGAAAGCGGACTAATACACTTGTAGAGATCTTTCACCTCCCTTCTTAGGTATATTCCTAAGTATTTTATTTTACTTTATTTTGTTTTGCAGCTGTGGGTTTTATACCAGAGATTCAGTGATGGTTTAACATTTGCAAGCCAATAAATGTGATACACCACATAAACAGAATTAAAAACAAAAATCATGTGATTATCTCAATAGATGCAGAAAAACCATTTGACACAATCCAGCATCGCTTTATGATTAAAACCTTCAGCAAAGTGACATAGAAGGGATATACCTTAAGGTAATAAAAGCCATCTATGACAAACCCACAGCCAACATTGTACTGAATGGGGAAAAGTTGAAAATATTCTCCCTGAGAACTGGAAGAGGACAAGGATGCCCACTATCACCACTTCTATTCAACATAGTACTGGAAGTTCTAGCCAGAGCAATCAGGCAAGAGAAAGAAATAAAGGAAATCCAAATTGGTAAAGAGGAAGTCAAACTGTCGATGTTAACCAATGATATGATTGTATACCTAGAAAATCCTAAAGACTAATCCAAAAACTCCTAGATCTGATAAATGAATTCAGTGAAGTTTTAGGATACAAAATCAATGCACACAAATCAGTAGCACTGCTATACACCAACCAGCGACCAAGCTGAGAATTAAATCAGGATGGGATTCAATTTCAGTCTTCTGCATATGGGTACCAGTCTTCCCAGCACCATTTATTGAAAAGGGAATCATTTCCTCATTGCTTGTTTTTGTCAGGTTTGTCCAAGATCAGATGGTTGTAGGTGTGCAGTTTTATTTCTGGGTTCTCTATTCTGTTCCATTGGCCTATGTTTCTGTTCTTGTGCCTGTGCAATCCTGTTTTGGTTACTGTAGCCTTGTAATACAGTTTGAAGTCAGGTAGCATGATGCCTCCAGCTTCTTTCTTTTTGCTTTGGGCTGCCTTGCTCTTCGGGCTCTTTCTTTGGTTCCATATGAATTTTAAAATAGTTTTTTCTAGTTCTGTGAAGAATGTCAATGGTAGTTTAATGGGAATAGAATTGAAGCTATGAATTGCTTTGGGCAGTATGGCCATTTTAACAATATTGGTTGGGTCTTTCTATCTATGAGCATCAAATGTTTTTCCATTTGTGTTCCATTCTTTGAGCAATGCTCAGCAGTTCTTCTTGTAGAGATATTTACTCCCCTAGTTAGCTGTATTCCTAAGTATTTTATTCTTTTTTGTGGCAATTGGGAATGGGATCTTGTACAGAACTTGTACATTCCTGATTTGGCTCACAGCTTGACTGTTGTTGGTGTATAGGAATGCTAGTGATGTTTGCCCATTGATTTTGTATGCTGAGGCTTCGTTGAGGTTGCTTATCAGTTTAGGAAACTTTTGGGCTGAGACGGTTGGGTTTTCTAGATATAGGATCATGTCATCTGCAAACAGGGATATCTGACTTCCTCTCTTCCTATTTGAATGTCTTTTCTTTCTTTCTCTTGCCTGATTGCCCTGGCCACAACTCCCAATACTATGTTGAATATGAGTGGTGAGAGAGGGCATCCTTGTCTTGTTCCAGTTTTCAAGGGACATGCTTCCAGTTTTTGCCTGTTCAGTATGCTGTTGGCTGTGGGTTTGTCGAATATGGCTCTTATTATTTTGAGTTATGTTCCTTCATTACCTAGTTTATTGAGAGTTTTGAACATGAATGGATGTTGAAATTTATCAAAGGCCTTTTCTGCCTCCATTGAGATATCATATGTTTTTGTCTTTAGTTCTCTTTATGTGATGAATCATATATATTGATTTGGGTATGTTGAACTAACCTTGCATCTCAGTGATGAAGTCTACCTGATCATGGTGGATATGCTTTTTG
The DNA here is from genome assembly GCF_000001405.40 of Homo sapiens. Classification (NCBI taxonomy): domain Eukaryota; kingdom Metazoa; phylum Chordata; class Mammalia; order Primates; family Hominidae; genus Homo; species Homo sapiens. The sequence continues at coordinate 34,439,315 of NC_000023.11, read as the reverse complement.
ATGTGCTGTTGGATTCAATTTGCCAGTATTTTGCTGAAGATTTTTTCATCAGTGCTCATCAAGTATATTGGCCTGAAGTTTTCTTTTCTTGTATCTCTCCCAGGTTTTGGTATCAGGATGATGCTGGCCTCATAGAATAAATTAGGGAGGAATCCCTCCTTTTTAATTTTTTGAAATACTTTCCATAGGAGGTTCAGTCTTGGGAGGGTGTATGTGTCCAGGAATTTACCAATTTATTCTAGATTTTCTAGTTTATGTGCATAGAGGTGTTTATAATATTCTGTGATGATTTTATTTCTGTGGGATCAGTGGTAATATTCCCCTTATTATTTCTTATTGTGTTTATTTGAATCTTCTTCCTTTTCTTCTTTATTAGTCTAGTTAGTGATCTATTTTATTAATTTTTTCAAAAAACAGCTCCTGGATTCGTTGATCTTTTGAATAGTTTTTCATGTCTCCATCTCCTTCACTTCATCTCTGATTTTGTTTATTTCTTGTCTTCTGCTAGCTTTGGAATTTGTTTGCTCTTGGTTCTCAAGTTCTTTTAGTTGTGATGTTAGATTGTTAACTTGAGATCTTTCTAACTCTTGATGTTTGCATATCGTGCCATAAATTTTTATCTTAACGCTGCCTCAGCTGGGTCCCAGAGATTCTGGTGTGTTGTATCTTTGTTCTCATTAGTTTCAAGAACTTCTTGATGGCTGTCTTAATTTCATTATTTACCCAAAAGTCATTTAGGAACAGGTTATTTAATTTTCATGTAATTGTTTGGTTTTGAGTGAATTTCTTAGTCCTGATTTTGAATTAGATTCAAAAAAGTGGTCTGAGAGACTGTTTGTTATGATTTCGGTTCTTTTCCATTTGCTGAGCAGTGTTTTACCTCCGATTGCGTGATCGACTTCAGAGTAGGTGCAATGTGGCAATTAGAAGAATGTATATTCTGTTGTTTTTGGGTGGAGAGCTCTGTAGATATCTATCATGTCCATTTGACCCAGTGCTGAGCTCAGTTCCTTAACATCTTTGTTAATTTTCTATCGTGATGATCTGTCTTATATTGTCAGTGAGTTTTTAATGTCTCCCATTATTATTGTGTGGGAGTCTAAGTCTCTTTGAAGGTCTCTAAGAACTTGCTTTATGAATCTGGGTGCTCCTATGCTAAGTGCATCTCTATCAATCGATCGACAGACAGATGAATATAGATATACTTAGGATAGTTAGCTCTTCTTGTTGAATTTAACCCTTTACCATTATGTAAGGCTCTTCTTTGTCTTTCTTGATCTTTGTTGGTTCAAAGTCTGTTTCTTTCAGAAACTAGAATTTCAATCTCTGCTATTTTCTGTTTTCCATTTACTTGGTAGATTTTTCTCCATCCCTTTATTTTGAGCCTGTGTGTGGTGGAGTTGGCTCGAGGCCCTGGTTGGGAGGTCCTGCACAGTGAGGAGGAATAAATCAGGGACTTGCTTAAAGAAGCGGTCTGGCCACACTTTCACAGAGCAGCTGTGCCGTGTTTCCATGCTGCTCCCTCCCCAGGTCAGCCTGAGCTTTTCAAAGCCCAAACAACAAAGATGGGGGCCCGCCCCTCCCCCTGGGAACTCCATCCCAGGGAGAATTTTAATCTTTCAGCCACAGAACACCAGTGTGTTGGCTGGAGGCCCCAGATAGGAGGTTCCGCCCAGTGAGGAGGAACAGAATTGGGGACCCACTTAAAGAAGCAGTCTGGCCACGCTTTTGTAGAGCAGCTGTGCTGTGCTGGGGTCCTACTTCTGCCCTGGTCATCTTGGGCTCTCCAAAGCCTGCAGAACATCTGAGTTGCTCAAACAGCAAAGATATTAGTCTGCTCCTCCCTCTGAGAACTCCATCCCAGGGAGAATTCAAATCTCTGTCAACCAGGGATCATCAGTGGATTCATCTAGCCACTAGTGGGAACATCTAGCCACTGGAGGCCCCTGTAGGGAAGTCCCACTCAGTGAGGAGGAAGAGTGCAGGGACGTGCTTAAAGAAGGAGTCTGGCCGCGTTTTGGTAGAGCAATCTGTGCTGGGGGATCCCTTCAGCCCCTGGTTGGTTTGGATTATCTGAGTTATTATTTCACCATTAATTAGTCACAGAAATATTATTGCTCTGTAACTTTATCAATTTAGTAGACAATAACTTTATATCGTTAACTGTATACCACATAATGCATAGATTACTATCATTAAACAGTGATTAGCTTCATGAATTTTTCTTAATAAGGGCAACAAATAAGAGGGAAAACAATTATAATGGCAGGTTAAAAAAAAGTAGTGGTAAAGGTATCCCTGTCATCTCATAAGATAAAGATGGAGATGTCAGGAGAAAGTTTGGAAGAAGATAATATGTGTTACTTTGTGAAAGAGGAGTTATTTAGGTAGACAAGATTTGTATGGCCATGACTATGAGGAGAGTTTTTGAGGTGAGAGGAAAATAATCTAAAAGCTCTCAGAGATAGAAAACATGATATTTTTAGGAAATACAAAAGAAGTCAATAAAAGGAAGGTTGGAAAGAACAACTTGTACTGGGTCTTGAAAGCTGCTTAACAGCAGAGATTCTGAAGTCATACTACCTTGGTTCAAATCCAAGTTCTACCCATTGTTAGCTATTATGAAATGTTTTGATGCTTCAGATTTATATCTATCGAACTGAGATAATAATTATAATATTTTCTTTATAAATTTTGTTAAGGATTAAATCAGTTAAGAGCTGCAAAGTTTTCACAACAACCTCCATCATTTGGCAAAACCAAATGAGTTTTGGATGCTCTTATGTTCTGCTGAAGAAACTGAATGGATAGAAATATGTTTAGATTAAAAAGAAAAAATAGGATTTTTGTGGAAGGATTGACAAGAATGGATAGTGGGATATATAACTGCCCTTAAAAAGACCAGATGTGTATACTCTTTTGGCTTATAAATGTGGCATGGACTAACTAAGATGATAGATGTGTGTATGTGGAACAAGGAATGGGGATAATCTGGGCCTGCCTCAGAACCTGGATTATATGGAAAAGAAATATCTATTCCGAACAACTAGCTATATTGTGGTCCTGCTTACAGAAGTAGAAAATAGATGAGTAAAAACAAGTTTTCCACTTGAACATGTTGTATATAGTTGTCTATGGTTCACGGGATTGGGATTATCTGCTAAGTAGTTGAAAATTTATGTCTTGAGCTCAAAAGCTGAGTCTGAGTAGGATATAAATTTAGGAAGGGCTGCCATGAATCACCATGAGAAAAAAATATTTACAAATAAATCCTTTATTAAAGTATAGCTTACAGAGAAGTGTACCAATCATAAAAGCACACAGCTCAGTGAATTTTCACAAAATGAGGCATCCTATGTTCTAATCTGTGGATAACACAATTGAATAAATGAAACCCATATTCTAGTCTGAGAGTTGTGTTTTAGAACAAGAAACACAGCCCGTGAACCAAATGAACTTCAAAATAATTGGAGTTTTTACATGTGTTTATCAAACTCTGGCAAAGATACATTTCATTTAGAGAAACTCGTTTAAAATGCCATTTTCCCATGCACTTTCTTTTCACCAAACAATTATTTTTAGCTTAGCTTTTCCAAACTTTTTAATTGAACCCTAATCTTCTCTGTTATCCTCTCTAGACACTCTGCCAATAACTATTTCTTAAGCAAGAATATATTTCTCTTATTTGTTTACTTCTTCCTCTTTCCCTAATTCAATGTGGACTAGAATAAAAAAAAAATATGTTGTGAAAGTCTGTCTCCTTTCAGAGAGCTGATGGCAACAGAAAGACTAATAAAGAGCAGTCAGAACCTCTTTTGTTGAAAGACAGAAGAGAAAAGATTGGAAGCACTTACTGAACAACATTTATTTTCCAAATATACATGTATTTGAAAAGCTTTAAGTAAGCTCTGGAAAGCACCAAAAGAAGATCTTGCAGAGGGGAAAGATAAGCAAGGAACATCTTTAGAGGGGTCATAGAAATCAAAGGAGAAAGGAATTTCAGGGAAATGGAGGTGACCAACAATTCTGGGGATTTCAGAGGTCATGTAAAATGATCCCAGAAAAGTTACAACTGGATTTGAAAAATTAGATGACCTTGTTGATAGCAGTGATTGCTTTTATTAGTGGAGTGACTAGAGAATAATTTAAATTCCAGTAAGTTGAGAAATGCATAGGGATTAAGAAGTAGAGGTACAGAGCTTATATTACTTTCCAAAGAAACTGAGGAATAAAGTGCATGAAAGGAGTGGTGAGATTGCTGTTGATGGTGGTAGCAGGGTGGGGAAGATGCAGAATTAAAGAAGAGTTGTTTTTGAAGATTTTGGTAGTTTAAATGAATATTTTCTTAATTGTTGAAGGTGAAAGAACCAGTAGAGGGGGAGAAGATAATGGAACATGAGTCTGATGAAGCCATGTCCTTGAAGAAATGATAATATATGAAATCTAGAAGACAGGTGGAAGGATTATCAGTCTAAAACATACCATCTCACACCAGTTAGAATGGCGATCATTAAAAAGTCAGGAAACAACAGGTGCTGGAGAGGATGTGGAGAAATAGGAACACTTTTACACTGTTGGTGGGACTGTAAACTAGTTCAACCATTGTGGAAGTCAGTGTGGTGATTCCTCAGGGATCTTGAACTAGAAATACCATTTGATCCAGCCATCCCATTACTGGGAATATACCCAAAGTATTATAAATCATGCTGCTATAAAGACACATGCACACGTATGTTTATTGCAGCACTATTCACAATAGCAAAGACTTGGAACCAACCCAAATGTCCAACAATGATAGACTGGATGAAGAAAATGTGGCACATATACACCATGGAATACTATGCAGCCATAAACAATGATGAGTTCTTGTCCTTTCGAGGGACATGGATGAAGCTGGAAACCATCATTCTCAGCAAACTATTGCAAGAACAAAAAACCAAACACGGCATGTTCTCACTCATAGGTGGGAATTGAACAATGAGAACACATGGTCACAGGAAGGGGAACTCACACACTGGGGCCTGTTGTGGGGTGGGGGATGGGGGGAGGGATAGCATTAGGAGATATACCTAATGTTAAATGACGAGTTAATGGGTGCAGCACACCAACATGGCACATATATACATATGTAACTAACCTGCACATTGTGCATATGTACCCTAAAACTTAAAGTATAATAAAAAAATAAAATAAATAAAAAAAGAATACTGTCTTCAGTGGGACAAGAAGGAGAAGGAGATGTGACTGCAGACAATTAAGGAAGGACCAGAAATGTGAAGGATGCTTCTAGATGTTTCTTTCTGAGAGACCATCTGCTCAAAATCAGGCATGTTGCTTCCACGAGAAGTAATTCAAAGCTACTCTCTGACCATTTTCTAATCCCTCACATAACACCTCCAAAAAGAGGAGGATAGTCTAGGCATTCTTTAGAATGAATAAGCCTTACTTACTTTGGGAAGTGGATGCTGTGTTAAAATTTTAGTTCATCAAAGTGGTTCTATCCATTTCACCAAAATGGCTAGAGCATTGGTCAAACCAATGAGCTACTCTGTTAAATACAGGCCATTTTGTTATTGCTCGTTTTTCTTCTGTCTCTTGTTTTCACACAGCTCCAAATTAGAAAGTAAGGAAGCTGAAGTGTGAACGCCTGCCATGTCATCCCCATTCCTGCTTACCTGTTCTCCCTTAGGCTAACTCCTATTCTCAGGATACCTTTAAGGAGATCTACTCCAATCCCTCATCTAAATCATGACTGCTGTTATATTTGTGTGTCTCAAAATAGCACATTTTTCACATGAAAACTTGTCAATATTTTTAATTGCATGTATTTGGTATTATTGTTTCATTGCTTCCTTTCCAATAGACTGTAAGCTTTGGAAAAGTATAAACAAAGAATATTTTAGCTTATAGTATAGAACCGATCACATTTTAAACTCACATTTTTGTTGAATAAATTACAGAAGAATTAAAACAGAGTATGGCCTGCTTTGACATAAAGCTATTTAAGCCTAACTACTTTAGAAAAGGTAGAGCATCCTATGTGGTCTGTTTCAGATTACCAGCATTTACTGCATTGGGATATGGGACCAGAAATTCAAGTAGATAAAAACTTGTATTTATTTTAACTACTTATTGTTTGCTGTATACTTATCTACTTAAGGTAATCCCCTTTCCCCAGTGCTCACCCTTCCCCACCCCACTCTCTCTTGCCCAAAGCAGCGTATAATGGCTGTGGTGTATAGCAGGATTGACATTATCTTGATTCTACTTTTTGTAGTCCTACTAACAAACACTGCAATATCATTGTAGCTTGTAAACCAGTGTGGGGAGTGAGAGAATTGATCATTAATGACCTGGCTGGCAAAATGGAAAACACACTTATTAAACTTTAAGAAGATATTGGTAATGGCTGATTGGAAATTTTAAATGACTTTGATAAGTTCCTAGGTTTTCTTCTGTTCAATTAGATGCTATAATCTTTCCCAGTGTCATTTGTTTTCTTTTTGTACTCTCACTTGATTTACTATTTCTTAGTTAAAAAGAAGGCAGGCATCTAAAAACAGTCTAACCATCTGAACACTATACGAAACGGAAAAATAAATGAGAAACTGATTAAAATTAATTTTTGATGTCTAACACATCATTATTCAGTAGGCACATAAGTGATTTCTTAGTTAATTCAGAAGTGCTAGACAGAAGAAATTATGAAAAAATACTCTTCCATTCTTAAATTTGTTTTTGATTTTAGAATTTTCAGAGCAGTGTAAGTGAACCTCAAAAATAAAAGTAACTTGGTTCAGAGACATAAGCCCTTCTCTAATTAAAAATAATATTATTGTGAATCTTGCAATTATATTGTTTGTGTTTTTAAAGCCCTTCCTCTTTTTTGAGTGAACAATAACTCCACATGCAATGCAAGTTAAAAATTTAAATAAAACATAAAAATAATTTCAAACATAAAGTGGTTGTTTCAGACCTCTGAATTCCTGTAGAACAACAGCAGCTTCTTAAATCCTAATATTTCTACACATGCTCCAGAGGTCAACAAGGAAAGCAAATAAAACCATATAAATCTTATGCCAACAGCATAATTAAAGGTCAAAGAGCAGTACAACTTGAGTTTATATATGCTAGGGAGAAGAAAAACATGAAACCAGCAGATTCTGCTCTGGAGCCCAGGCTGAAGAGATCCAGATGAGACTGCTTGAAAATCAGGAACATGCAGCAGTATAGTAGTAGTGCCAAAACACAGATAAATTTCCCTTAGAAAAAGGAGGTCCTAAGACAGTGTTTTAACACAGGGTTTGGTATTTAGTAAGCCTTCAATAAATGATATTTACATACACGCAATAAAAACTTAGCATTGAAAGACCAGGAAAAATGCATCAAATGTTAGTTCTGCAGGTTGTAGAGTTATACTTTTACATAATTTAAATATTTCAGTTATGAGCATGTTTGTCCATTAGCAAACTTATAATGCTGAAAAATAGGGTTGTGAGAACAGCTTCAGGTAAAATTGTCCTGTTTAGTTTGAATATTTCAAGAACAGAAGGCCTCCCTTTTTTGAATTACAGAGAAGTTACACCTTAGTATCAGATACTAATTTTCTTCAGTGTTCAGGCAATTAGTATTTAGAAAGCTCTTGTCATGAGATAGCTCTGGGATGTGATGATGATTGTTGAGATTGAAAAAAAATGGCAGTATCATGAAGAGGTCATAATAAATTCTTATTACAATAGTATTAAAAGTGGTTTTTCACTCAGTCAGGGAGAAAAATTAGATTGTACTTTTTGTCCTCTATGATTTCCTTCAGTTATCTTCTAAATGTTGTTTTTTCCCCACAGCCCCCTTAACATTGTTCTCTACGCACTTCTCAATATACACTTTCATTTGTTTCTCAAGCTTCTTTGTGGATGACTCCTAAATATAGCTTCTTCTACTAGCTCTAGATCCATATTTCCAATAAAATCCCCTACCTGGAAATTGAACATGTTCAGAATACTCACTGATTTTATTGCTAATAGCCACTATTCTGTTGTCTGGAATTAAAACCTGTATAAGTAATTTGCATCCCTTTACCTTCTTAGTCAATAAAACCTACAATTCTCTCTCTGAAATGGTAAAAAAAAAAAAAAAAAATGAGGTCCTACCCTGAGAGGGAAAATACTAAGAACAGGTATAAGAGGTATAGGATAAGAAGGATCAGAATATTGGCTACTGAGAATTCAAAGGAAGGGACCTGAAAATATAGGATCAGAGGTAACAGTCATAGGAAGACAGTGATTCTGGAGGAAAGGGAGCAACTTGGAAAGGGATGGGCATTCCTTGGACTTTGAAAATTAAGAGAAAGAATAAAGCAAGTGGAGGAGATTAGAGCTCCTAGAGAAACAAAGGAATAATGCAGAATCAAAATATATCACCCTCCCTTAATTGTGTCGATTGTTGTTTTTTTTTAAAAAAAAAAAACACTGCATCTCAATATAACAATTATATTCTAACTCTAGAAAATAATTAGGGTGAAAAAGAGTTAGAAATAATTGTAAGGCTTTAACATGTTGACGTGCCAGTACCAAAGAGTATAAATAACACTGAGATCTTGATTTCTAAAAATAAATTCTTGCTGAAAGGAAAGGAATGAAGGTTCCTTGGAGAGATGACTGATTATAGGAAAGAACAGAGGAAGTACAAGGTGAACCAGAATGTAAGGAAGTGCTCAAACACAAATGGAACCACATTCAAAGGATCCGGGAGCTAGTTTGAGGGTGAATTTAATGGATAAATTTTGTACTATGTGACCATTAAAGACAAGAATGATATTAAATGAACTAATTAAAAATTTCCATGAATAAGCAAAGAAATATTCATAATGCATTTAAGAAGAAGTGAGAGAAATAGAAAAAATAGGAGATATTCTTCCTTACCAAATGATCTCAGCAAATAAATATTAAAGAAATTTCAGAATTAGAAACTTGGTATTTTGTAACCCTTGATGTCAAAATAGATTCATATGAGGATCAATGGCTAAAACTATATGGTAAGAAAGTATGGAGAACAATATATTCACCATCCCTTTAATTAATTACTATTTATAGATGGAAACTATGACTTTACAATGGAAAGACTGGTAGTCACCTCGTAAATCACTAATAGTGTTATATTCTCATATTATATGCCTATTGATGAGATGTAGTGAAAGTTTCATAACATCATCTATGTGATGTCTTTGTCATAAATATTTGATCTCAATCTAAACATAGGGAAACATTCAGATGAATCCTGAAGGTGGAATATACTGAAGAACAACTGGCCTTGACTCTGCAAAGGACTTGGTGCCATTAAAAGTAGAGGACAGCAGATTAACACCTGCAGATCACAGGAACCTAAAGAGCCATTATAGCAAAAAAAATATGGTTGAATAAATCAATTGGATCATGGGGGAAAAGAAAAAAGCTATGTACAAATGTGCATTTTGATCAGAGTGCAAATGAGGAAAGTTTTAGTATAGTGAATAATAGTATTGATCTAATGTTAATTTTTTAAAGTGTGGTAATGGACATGTATAAAGGATCCTTAATACAAGGGAGAGGAATAATGAAGTAGACAGGGTGAAATATGACGTCCTCAACCTAATTTCAGATTGTTTGATAAAAGAGAGGCATGTGCATGTGTGTGTGTTTGTGCGTGTGTGTGTGTAGAGAAAGATGGAATTGTTGTGGTGATATTGCACTATAACAATTGGGACATAACAATAATTGGGATGTTCATTTATTTCACTTGTCCATCAACTTTTATTTGAGTTTGAAACTTTTCTAAAAATGTAAAACATAAAATACAAATGAAAAGATTTGACTTGTTTATACACTTTGCCAACTGTACGTGTTTTTATGAAGCATAATATAGTTTAAAATTTTTATCTCTTTTCCAGTAATATTAATATAATAAAGATCCATAGAACATCAATTTCAAGGAAACACTGTAGGCTTAAACACCAAATGAGTTTTATGTTGTGATTATCAACTCACAGTTTTTATTATGTATATAGACTATGGCTCTAAAAGAGTCTCTCAGTGGACTCAAAGCATATTTTGATACCAGAGTTCAATTCTCCCTTGGTGTCCATGAAATAAGTATGTGATATCTTAGTTGACTGTGAAAGAGAGTTTGACTTAGAGTAGACTTTTGAGAAAGGTTCACAATATTTTTAAATGGGGTGGTGAAACTAATGCTAGAGTAGATTGAGGTCTGTGAATGCAGGTATATTTGTGGGTCTTGAGATCATCTCTTATGAATGTGCCACCCTGGTTGTACTAACTATAACATGTGGATATTAATATATTCTTTCAATTCTGTTTTGTTCTTGCATAGTATAGAATCTCATTATGAGGACATTAGATAATGATAGTTTTTATTAAATCTCAGATAACATTGGGCAAAATATTATGTGTTTATATTCTGTGAAATACTGCAATTTTTGAAAAAAACACATTACTTTAAAAATCATGACCAAATCATATGTATATGTATATATATGTATGTATATATGTATATATACATACATATACATATGATTTGGCCATGATTTATATACATATACATCTATATACACACATGTATATATTTGGTTAGAAGTGCTCTGGCAGAACCTAGTAACCAGAAATAAAATATTTTTTAAAAAAACGATTTTTTGTCATTTTAGTTCCTTTGCTAAAGCATATATTGCCCACAATTCTGTGGAAAGAGGTTAAAATTTTCATTATTCTTTCTTTTGCCTCCCACACTTGATAATTTGTTTTCTCTTCCAGCAAGTGTCCTACTTTATAATAGTACCTCAAGTGCAATTCTGATAGCATTTATTCTGGCATAACAATAAGGTATCTATTCTCACCTCTTTTATAAATTATACTCTTAGATTAATAGATTGCCTTTGTATACTAGGATACTTAATAGTCTTCCACATAAGTTATATATAATTGTGTAGCAATAAATAGTTAGTTTATTCGTATATGCTGTGGTTTATCCAGTGATATATAGTAACAGTTTCACTACAGAAATGTTTGTTTGCAAAAGTAGGTCTACAGGAATTTTATCAGAATCACATTTAAGAAAGTGCTCTAGTCTGCAGCTTTCTGGAATCTAGCAATTTGGTAGGACATTTATTTTTAAAAGTTTTAGCTAATATACTGATGTTAGTCAAATTTTTTCAACTTTAATATTATTTAGTATACGTTTGGGAATATAGTACACATAATTTTTACATCTTTTAATTTTGAGATACTCCATAGAATATTACACAGCTTACAGCAGTTCACTTCTTGGAGGAAATTATGCTATTTTTGTGAGGAGATTATACTTATGATAATGGTTTTACTTTGCAAAGTACATTCACATACATTATTCATATCAACAAATATTTAATGTGTGCTTACTGTGTGCCATGTACAAGATTTTGTACTAGTGATAAATAAGGAGAAAGAGGAGAGAAGAAAGACTTGTCAAAGGAGGAGAAGAGAAAGCATGATATAAGAGTTAATGAGTTAATAAATAACACAAATCTATTATCAATTTTTAACACTTGCTTATTACAAACTGTCTCGAACGTACAAAAAAAAACAACAGAAAACCACCAGTCTATCCAAAACCCTGATTTAAGATGTGATTTTTCTATATTTGATTGATAACTTTTGTTTTAGAAATAAAATATTAGTTATACGTTTGACAGCCCTTAACATTCATAGCATTTCCCTTCCTGCTCAGAGTTATACACTGCTTAAGATTTGACTATATTCTACCATCCATATTTTTTACACGAAGACTTTTTTTGCAGTTACAAACGATATTTATTCTGGTTATGTGTGTTTTGACTTTGCGTGAATAGTATGTTTTTTGTAACTTGAATTTCTCATTCAACAATTTTTCCCTCAACAAATATGAAGGTTACCTATTCTAAATGCCAGATATTTAGTGGTTAGAGTGCTGACATTCATACTTGAATTATCACAGTCTTACGTTTAATATCTGTACAATATCCAGAAAAAATGAGAAATTAAAAGCATTCTGATCATAGTTTATTTTATCTTCCATGTAGTTATTGTCTGGAACTTAATTGCACTGTATTTTTAAATCTGCCTCCAACTTAGTCACTCAATTATGTGATGTTTAACATTTAATCCATCTTGGATTTATGTACACGTATATCCATTTCTTTGTCTACCATTGTTTCTTTAATCCCACTGTCTCCTGTAAACTTAATTCTTTTCTATAGAAACCTATTCCTTAGAAGTTCTACCCATGAGAGTCTAGGTAAAAATAGCTGCCTTTGTCTGAAAGTGTCTTTTCTTTCATTTTCTAATATGGTTGTTGAGTATTGTATTTTATATATAGTGGTAATTTCTTTTGGCACTTTGAGGATAATATTTTTCAATTATATTCTTGCTTCTATTGGTAATAATGGGACAATTACTACCAGTCTAATTGCTCTTCCTATTTGGTATTGTATTTCTTCCAAATTGCTTTTTAGACTTTTCTCTTTGCTATTAATGTACTGTGGTTCATCAGCTGTTTTTTAGCCTTGGTTCCCCAGAAAGCAGAGCCTGAGACAAAAATTTAAGTGCTATTACTTTATTGGGGAATATAATCAAAGTGACCAGGATTGCAGGGCAAGAGTGCTAAGGCAGGGAAGGAGGGTGATCCAATGTGAGAATGTATGATCAAGCTGGATCTTGATCAAAACTCCTAGAAGTCCTAGAAAATGCATCTCAAAACCATGGGGAGGCAGTGTGGAGAAAGGAGCAAGAATCCTTCCACTGGCTCAGCCTGTGGGAACACTGTGAGGGTTGCTTTGGCAGCAAGAGCACCTGCTGGAGTGAGAAGAGAGTAAAGGAGAAGGTAGATTTGGGGAAGCTATGAACAGTAAGTTAGACATTCTCAAGTGGTCTATATGAGAAGGCTGCCAGAGCCCAGTAAACACTGGAACAAGAGAAGAATGAGGCTGATGGGAGGGTTCTGATACAGTTGTATAGTCATATATTTGTTTTCATTTATTTTACTGGAGATTCCATGTCCTGCTTAATTCTGAATATTTAATTCTAATGTCACCTATGATAAAATGCTTACCAACTATTTCTTCAAATAATGAATACGTTTACTCCAGTTTCACCTTTTAGAAATATTATTAGATAAATGCAGACCTTCTAATTTTGTACTTCATTTCTTTATCATTCACATTCTAATTTCATCTCATTATAATTTTCTCTGATTTATTTTCAGCTTATTTAACTGTCCTTTTTTTATTATACTTTAAGTTTTAGGGTACATGTGCACAACGTGCAGGTTAGTTACATATGTATACATGTGCCATGTTGGTGTGCTGCACCCATTAACTGGTCATTTAACATTAGGCATATCTCCTAATGCTATCCCTCCCCCCTCCCCCCACCCCCCAACAGGCCCCGGTGTGTGATGTTCCCCTTCCTGTGTCCACGTGTTCTCATTGTTCAATTCCCACCTGTGAGTGAGAACATGCGGTGTTTGGTTTTTTGTCCTTGCCATAGTTTGCTGAGAATGATGGTTTTCAGCTTCATCCCTGTCCCTACAAAGGACAAGAACTCATCATTTTTCATGGCTGCATAGTATTCCATGGTGTATATGTGCCACATTTTCTTAATCCAGTCTATCATTGTTGGATATTTGGCTTGGTTCCAAAACAGAGCCCTCAGAAATAATGCTGCATATCTACAACCATCTGATCTTTGACAAACCTGACAAAAACAAGAAATGGGGAAACAATTCTCTATTTAATAAATGGTGCTGGGAAAACTGGCTAGCCATATGTAGAAAGCTGAAACTGGATCCCTTCCTTACACCTTATACAAAAATTAATTCAAGATGGATTAAAGACTTAAATGTTAGACCTAAAACCATAAAAACCCTAGAAGAAAACCTAGGCAATACCATTCAGGACATAGGCATGGGCAAGGACTTCATGTCTAAAACACCAAAAGCAATGGCAACACAAGCCAAAATTGACAAATGGGATCTAATTAAACTAAAGAGCCTCTGCACAGCAAAAGAAACTACCATCAGAGTGAACAGGCAACCTACAGAATGGGAGAAAATTTTTGCAATCTACTCTTCTGACAAAGGGTTAATATCCAGAATCTACAGTGAACTCCAACAAATTTACAAGAAAAAAACAACCATGTGTTCTCATTGTTCAATTCCCACCTATGAGTGGGAACATGCCGTGTTTGGTTTTTTGTCCTTGTGATAGTTTGCTGAGAATGATGGTTTCCAGTTTCATCCATGTCCCTACAAAGGACATGAACTCATCCTTTTTTATGGCTGCATAGTATTCCATGGTGTATATGTGCCACATTTTCTTCATCCAGTCTATCATTGTTGGACATTTGGGTTGGTTCCAAGTCTTTGCTATTGTGAATAGTGCCGCTATAAACATACGTGTGCATGTGTCTTTATAGCAGCATGATTTATAATCCTTTGGGTGTATACCCAGTAACGGGATAGCTGGGTCAAATGGTATTTCTAGTTCTAAATCCCTGAGGAATCGCCACACTGACTTCCACAATGGTTGAACTAGTTTACAGTCCCACCAACAGTGTAAAAGTGTTCCTATTTCTCCACATCCTCTCCAGCACCTGTTGTTTCCTGACTTTTTAATGATTGCCATTCTAACTGGTGTGAGATGGTATCTCATTGTGGTTTTGATTTGCATTTCTCTGATGGCCAGTGATGATGAGCATTTTTTCATGTGTTTTTTGGCTGCATCACAGGAAGGGGAACATCACACTCTGGCGCCTGTTGCGGGGTAGGGGGAGGGGGAAGGGATAGCATTAGGAGATATACCTAATGTTAAATGACGAATTAATGGGTGCAGCACACCAACATGGCACATGTATACATATGTAACAAACCTGCACGTTGTGCACATGTACCCTAAAACTTAAAGTATAATAATAAAAAAAAAAGAAAAAACCAAACAACCCCATCAAAAAGTGGGCAAAGGATATGAACAGACACTTCTCAAAAGAAGGCTGTTGCCCTTTCAGTATGAATTTGGCTGTGGATTTGTCATAGATGGCTCTTATCATTTTGAGGTATGTTCCTTCAATATCTAGTTTGTTGAGAATTTTTTACATGAAGAAATGTTGAATTTTATCAAAAACCTTTTCTGCATCTATTGAGATGATCATGTTTTTGTCTTCAGTTCTGTTTATGTGATGAATCGGGTTCATTGATTTGCATATGTTCAACCAGCCTTGCATCCAGGAATAAAGCCTACTTGATCGTGGAAATAAGCTTTTTTTTTTTTTGAGATGGAGTCTAACTCTTTCACCCAGGCTCAGTGGCATGATCTGGGCTCACTGCAACCTCTGCCTCCCAAGTTCAAGCGATTCTCCTGCCTCAGCCTTCCGAGTAGCTGGGATTACAGGCACCCACCACCACGCCCAGTTAATTTTTGTATTTTTAGTAGAGACGGGGTTTCACTGTGTTGGCCAGGCTGGTCTCAAACTCCTGGCCTCCTGATCTGCCTGCCTTGGCCTCCCAAAGTGCTGGGATAGGTAAATAAGATTTTTGATGTGCTACTCGGCTGGATTCAGTTTGTGAGTTTGTGTGTGTGTGTGTGTGTGTGTGTGTGTGTGTGTGTGTGTGTTTGAGGATTTTTGCATGAATGTTCATCAAGGATATCTGCCTGAAGTTTGTTGTTGTTGTTGTTGTTTTGCTTCTGCAAAGTTTTTGTATCAGGATGATGCTGGCCTCATAGAATGCGTTGGGGAGGAGTCCTCTTTCTCAAGTTTTTGGAATGTTTTCAGTAGGAACGTTATCGGCTCTTCTTTGTACATCTGGTAGAATTTGGCTGTAAATTCATCTGGCCCCTGGCTTCTTTTGGTTGGTAGGCTATTTATTACTGAATCCTACTTAGGAGCTCACTTTTTGTCTGTTCAGGGAATCAATTTCTTCCTGGTTCAGTCTTGGGAAGGTTTGTGTGTCCAGGAATTTATCCATCTCTTCCAGGTTTTCTAGTTTGTGTGCATACAGGCGTTAATAATACTCTCTGGGGGTTATCTGTACTTCTTTGGGGTCAATGGTAATATACCTTCTGTTGTTAATGATCATGTTTATTTGGATATTCTCTCTTTTCTTCTTTATTAGTCTAGCTAGCAGCTTATCTATCTTACTATTTTTTTCAAAAGTCCAACTCCTGGGTTCATTGATCTTTTGAATGCTTTCTTTGTGTGTCGATTTCCTTCAGTTCAGTTCTGATTTTGGTTATGTCTTGTTTTCTGATAGCTTTGGGGTTGATTTGCTCTTGTTTCTCTAGTTCCTTTCATTATGATGTTAGGTTGTTACTTTGAGATCTTTCTAACTTTTTGATGTGAGTGTTTTGTGCTATACACTTCCCTCATTAACACTGCCTGAGCTATATCCCAGAGATACTGGTATGTTGTATTTTTTTTCTCATTAGTTTCAAAGAAATTCTTGATTCCTCCCTTAATTTCATGATTCACCCAAAAGTCATTCAGGAGCAAGTTGTATAATTTCCATGTAGTCGTGTGGTTTAGAGCGATTTGTTTAGTCTTTATTTATTTTTTATTGTGCTGTAGTTCAAGAATATGTTTGGTATGATTTCAGTTCTTTTGCATTTGCTGAGGATTGTTTTATGTCTGATTGAAGGTCAATTTTAGAGTATATTCCATGTGGTGATACGAACAATGTATATTCTGTTGTTTTGGGGTAGAGTTCTATAGAAGCTTATCAGATCCATTTGTTCCACTGATGAATTCAGATCCTGAATATCTTGATTAATTTTCTGCCTTGATGTTCTGTCTAATACTGTCTGGGGTGTTGAAGTTTCCCACTATTATTGTGTGAGAGTCTAAGTCTCTTTGAAGGTCTCTAAGAACTTGCTTTATGAATCTGGATGCTCCTGTGTTGGGTGCATACATTTAGAATAGTTAGGACTTCTTGTTGAATTGAAACTTTTCCATTATGCAACGCCCTTTTTTGTCTTTTTTGACCTTTGTCAAATTAAATTGTTTCTCTGAAATTAGGATTTCAACCATTGATTTTTTATCATTTCTATTTGCCTGGTAGATTTTTCTCCTTCCTTTTATTTTGAGCCTATGGGTGTCATTGAGTGTGAGATGAATCTCTTAAAGACAGCATACCATTGATTCTTGCTTTTTTATCCAGCTTGCCACTCTATGGCTATTCAATGGGGCATTTAGCCTATTTACATTCAAGGTTAGTATTGATATGTGTGAATTTGATCTTGTCATTGTATTTTTATCTAGTTATTATACCAGCTTCTTTGTGTGGCTGCCTTATAGAAACACTGGTCTGTGTATGTAAGTGTGTTTTTGTAGTGGCAGATAATGGTCTTCCCTTTCTATATTTATTACTCCTTTTAAGATCTCTTGTAAGGTTGGTCTGATGGTAACCAACTGCCTCAGCATTTGCTTATCTGAAAAGGATCTTATTTCTCCTTCACTGATGAAGCTTAGTTTGGCTGGATATGAAATTCTTTGTTGAAGATCTTTTTTCTTTAAGAAAGTTGAATAAAAGCCCCTAATCTCTTCTGACTTTTAGAGTATCTGATGAGAGGTTTGCTTCTAGCCTGATGATATTCCCTTTGTAAGAAATCTTCTCTTTCTCTCTAGCTGCCTTTAATTTTTTTTTTCATTTTGACCTTAGAAAATCTGATGATTATGTGTTTTGGGGATGATCTTGTTGGGTAGTATCTTGCAGGGGTTCTCTGTATTTCCTGAATTTGACTGTTGGCCTCTCTAGCAAAGTTGCGGATGTTTTCATGGATGAGATCCTGAAATATATTTTCCAAATTATTTGCTTTCTTACTGTTCTTTTCAGGGTGCCAATGAATCATAGATTTTGCCTCTTTACATAATCCCATATTTCTTGGAGGTTTTGTTCATTCCTTTTCATTCCTTTTTCTTTATTTTTGCCTAATTTTCTTATTTCAGAAAGCTAGTCTTCAAGTTCTGAGATTCTTCTCTCAACTTTCTCTTTTCTGCTGCTAATACTTGCAATTGCATTGTGAAATTCTTGTAGTGTGTTTTTCACCTCTCTCAGATCAGTTAGGTTATTTTTATTTATTTATTTATTTATTTATTTATTATTATTATACTTTAAGTTTTAGGGTACATGTGCACAATGTGCGGGTTAGTTACATATGTATACATGTGCCTTGCTGGTGCGCTGCACCCACTAACTCGTCATCTAGCATTAGGTATATCTCCCAATGCCATCCCTCCCCCCTCCCCCCACCCCACAACAGTCCCCAGAGTGTGATGTTCCCTTTTCTGTGTCCATGTGTTCTCACCATTCAATTCCCACCTATGAGTGAGAATATGCGGTGTTTGGCTTTTTGTTCTTGTGATAGTTTACTGAGAATGATGATTTCCAATTTCATCCATGTCCCTACAAAGGACATGAACTCATCATTTTTTATGGCTGCATAGTATTCCATGGTGTATATGTGCCACATTTTCTTAATCCACTCTATCATTGTTGGACATTTGGGTTGGTTCCAAGTCTTTGCTATTGTGTATAATGCCACAATAAACATACGTGTGCATGTGTCTTTATAGCAGCATGATTTATAGTCCTTTGGGTATATACCCAGTAATGGGATAGCTGGGTCAAATGGTATTTGTAGTTCTAGATCCCTGAGGAATCGCCACACTGACTTCCACAATGGTTGAACTAGTTTACAGTCCCACCAACAGTGTAAAAGTGTTCCTATTTCTCCACATCCTCTCCAGCACCTGTTGTTTCCTGACTTTTTAATGATCGCCATTCTAACTGGTGTGAGATGGTATCTCATTGTGGTTTTGATTTGCATTTCTCTGATGGCCAGTGATGATGAGCATTTTTTCATGTGTTTTTTGGCTGCATATATGTCTTCTTTTGAGAAGTGTCTGTTCATATCCTTTGCCCACTTTTTGATGGGGTTGTTTGTTTTTTTTTGTAAATTTGTTTGAGTTCATTGTAGATTCTGGATATTAGCCCTTTGTCAGATGAGTAGGTTGCGAAAATTTTCTCCCATTCTGTAGGTTGCCTGTTCACTCTGATGGTAGTTTCTTTTGCTGTGCAGAAGCTCTTTAGTTTAATTAGATCCCATTTGTCAATTTTGTCTTTTGTTGCCATTGCTTTTGGTGTTTTAGATATGAAGTCCTTGCCCATGCCTATGTCCTGAATGGTAATGCCTAGGTTTTCTTCTATGGTTTTTATGGTTTTAGGTCTAACGTTTAAATCTTTAATCCATCTTGAATTCATTTTTGTAAAAGGTGTAAGGAAGGGATCCAGTTTCAGCTTTCTACATATGGCTAGCCAGTTTTCCCAGCACCATTTATTAAATAGGGAATCCTTTCCCCATTGCTTGCTTTTCTCAGGTTTGTCAAAGATCAGATAGTTGTAGATATGCGGCATTATTTCTGAGGGCTCTGTTCTGTTCCATTGATCTATATCTCTGTTTTGGTACCATTACCATGCTGTTTTGGTTACTGTAGCCTTGTAGTATAGTTTGAAGTCAGGTAGCGTGATACCTCCAGCTTTGTTCTTTCAGCTTAGGATCGACTTGGCGATGCGGGCTCTTTTCTGGTTCCATATGAACTTTAAAGTAGTTTTTTCCAATTCTGTGAAGAAAGTCATTGGTAGCTTGATGGGGATGGCATTGAATCTGTAAATTACCTTCAGCAGTATGGCCATTTTCACTATATTGATTCTTCCTACCCATGAGCATGGAATGTTCTTCCATTTGTTTGTATCCTCTTTTATTTCATTGAGCAGTGGTTTGTACTTCTCCTTGAAGAGGTCCTTCACATCCCTTGTAAGTTGGATTCCTAGGTATTTTATTCTCTTTGAAGCAATTGTGAATGGGAGTTCACTCATGATTTGGCTCTCTGTTTGTCTGTTGTTGGTGTGTAAGAATGCTTGTGATTTTTGTACACTGATTTTGTATCCTGAGACTTTGCTGAAGTTGCTTATCAGCTTAAGGAGATTTTGAGCTGAGACAATGGGGTTTTCTAGATATACAATCATGTCATCTGCAAACAGGGACAATTTGACTTTCTCTTTTCCTAGTTGAATACCCTTTATTTCCTTCTCCTGCCTAATTGCTCTGGCCAGAACTTCCAACACTATGTTGAATAGGAGTGGTGAGAGAGGACATCCCTGTCTTGTGCCAGTTTTCAAAGGGAATGCTTCCAGTTTTTGCTCATTCAGTATGATATTGGCTGTGGGTTTGTCATAGATAGCTCTTATTATTTTGAAATATGTCCCATCAATACCTAATTTATTGAGAGTTTTTAGCATGAAGGGTTGTTGAATTTTGTCAAAGGCCTTTTCTGCATCTATTGAGATAATCATGTGGTTTTTGTCTTTGGTTCCGTTTATATGCTGGATTACATTTATTGATTTGCATATATTGAACCAGCATTGCATCCCAGGGATGAAGCCCACTTGATCATGGTGGATAAGCTTTTTGATGTGCTACTGGATTCGGTTTGCCAGTATTTTATTGACGATTTTTGCATCAATGTTCATCAAGGATATTGGTCTAAAATTCTCTTTTTTGGTTGTGTCTCTGCCAGGCTTTGGTATCAGGATGATGCTGGCCTCATAAAATGAGTTAGGGAGGATTCCCTCTTTTTCTATTGATTGGAATAGTTTCAGAAGGAATGGTACCATTTCCTCCTTGTACCTCTGGTAGAATTCGGCTGTGAATCCATCAGGTCCTGGACTCTTTTTGGTTGGTAAGCTATTGATTATTGCCACAATTTCAGCTCCTGTTATTGGTCTATTCAGAGATTCAACTTCTTCCTGGTTTAGTCTTGGGAGGGTGTATGTGTCGAGGAATTTATCCATTTCTTCTGGATTTTCTAGTTTATTTGCGTAGAGGTGTTTGTAGTATTCTCTGATGGTAGTTTGTATTTCTGTGGGATTGGTGGTGATATCCCCTTTATCATTTTTTATTGCGTCTATTTGATTCTTCTCTCTTTTTTTCTTTATTAGTCTTGCTAGTGGTCTATCAATTTTGTTGATCCTTTCAAAAAACCAGCTCCTGGATTCATTAATTTTTTGAAGGGTTTTTTGTGTCTCTATTTCCTTCAGTTCTGCTCTGATTGTAGTTATTTCTTGCCTTCTGCTAGCTTTTGAATGTGTTTGCTCTTGCTTTTCTAGTTCTTTTAATTGTGATGTTAGGGTGTCAATTTTGGATCTTTCCTGCTTTCTCCTGTGGGCATTTAGTGCTAAAAATTTCCCTCTACACACTGCTTTGAATGTGTCCCAGAGATTCTGGTATGTTGTGTCTTTGTTCTCGTTGGTTTCAAAGAACATCTTTATTTCTGCCTTCATTTCATTATGTACCCAGTAGTCATTCAGGAGCAGGTTGTTCAGTTTCCATGTAGTTGAGCAGTTTTGAGTGAGATTATTAATCCTGAGTTCTAGTTTGATTGCACTGTGGTCTGAGAGATAGTTTGTTATAATTTCTGTTCTTTTACATTTGCTGAGGAGAGCTTTACTTACAACTATGTGGTCAATTTTGGAATAGGTGTGGTGTGGTGCTGAAAAAAATGTATATTCTGTTGATTTGGGGTGGAGAGTTCTGTAGATGTCTATTAGGTCCGCTTGGTGCAGAGCTGAGTTCAATTCCTGGGTATCCTTGTTAACTTTCTGTCGCGTTGATCTGTCTAATATTGACAGTGGGGTGTTAAAGTCTCCCATTATTAATGTGTGGGAGTCTAAGTCTCTTTGTAGGTCACTCAGGACTTGCTTTATGAATCTGGGTGCTCCTGTATTGGGTGCATATATATTTAGGGTAGTTAGCTCTTCTTGTTGAATTGATCCCTTTACCATTATGTAATGGCTTTCTTTGTCTCTTTTGATCTTTGTTGGTTTAAAGTCTGTTTTATCAGAGACTAGGATTGCAACCCCTGCCTTTTTTTGTTTTCCATTTGCTTGGTAGATCTTCCTCCATCCTTTTATTTTGAGCCTATGTGTGTCTCTGCACGTGAGATGGGTTTCCTGAACACTGATGGGTCTTGACTCTTTATCCAATTTGCCAGTCTGTGTCTTTTAATTGGAGCATTTAGTCCATTTACATTTAAAGTTAATATTGTTATGTGTGAATTTGATCCTGTCATTATGATGTTAGCTGGTTATTTTGCTCGTTAATTGATGCAGTTTCTTCCTAGTCTCGATAGTCTTTACATTTTGGCATGATTTTGCAGCGGCTGGTACCGGTTGTTCCTTTCCATGTTTAGCGCTTCCTTCAGGAGCTCTTTTAGGGCTGGCTTGGTGGTGACAACATCTCTCAGCATTTGCTTGTCTGTAAAGTATTTTATTTCTCCTTCACTTATGAAGCTTAGTTTGGCTGGATATGAAATTCTGGGTTGAAAATTCTTTTCTTTAAGAATGTTGAATATTGGCCCCCACTCTCTTCTGGCTTGTAGGTTTTCTGCCGAGAGATCCGCTGTTAGTCTGATGGGCTTCCCTTTGAGGGTAACCCGACCTTTCTCTCTGGCTGCCCTTAACAATTTTTCCTTCATTTCAACTTTGGTGAATCTGACAATTATGTGTCTTGGAGTTGCTCTTCTCGAGGAGTATGTTTGTGGCCTTCTCTGTATTTCCTGAATCTGAATGTTGGCCTGCCTTGCTAGATTGGCGAAGTTCTCCTGGATAATATCCTGCAGAGTGTTTTCCAACTTGGTTCCATTCTCCCCGTCACTTTCAGGTACACCAATCAGACGTAGATTTGATCTTTTCACATAGTCCCATATTTCTTGGAGGCTTTGCTCGTTTCTTTTTATTGTTTTTTCTCTAAACTTCCCTTCTCGGTTCATTTCATTCATTTCATCTTCCATCGCTGATACCCTTTCTTCCAGTTGATCGCATCAGCTCCTGAGGCTTCTGCATTCTTCACGTAGTTCTTGAGCCTTGGTTTTCAGCTCCATCAGCTCCTTTAAGCACTTCTTAGTATTGATTATTCTAGTTATACATTCTTCTAAATTTTTTTCAAAGTTTTCAACTTCTTTGCCTTTGGTTTGAATGTCCTCCCATAGCTCAGAGTAATTTGATCGTCTGAAGCCTTCTTCTCTCAGCTCGTCAAAGTCATTCTCCATCCAGCTTTGTTCCGTTGCTGGTGAGGAACTGCGTTCCTTTGGAGGAGGAGAGGCGCTCTGCTTTTTAGAGTTTCCAGTTTTTCTGTTCTGTTTTTTCCCCATCTTTGTGGTTTTATCTACTTTTGGTCTTTGATGATGGTGATGTACAGATGGGTTTTTGGTGTGGATGTCCTTTCTGTTTGTTAGTTTTCCTTCTAACAGACAGGACCCTCAGCTGCAGGTCTGTTGGAGTACCGGGCCGTGTGAGGTGTCAGTCTGCCCCTGCTGGGGGGTGCCTCCCAGTTAGGCTGCTCGGGGGTCAGGGGTCAGGGACCCACTTGAGGAGGTAGTCTGCCGGTTCTCAGATCTCCAGCTGCGTGCTGGGAGAACCACTGCTCTCTTCAAAGCTGTCAGAGAGGGACATTTAAGTCTGCAGAGGTTACTGCTGTCTTTTTGTTTGTCTGTGCCCTGCCCCCAGAGGTGGAGCCTACAGAGGCAGGCAGGCCTCCTTGAGCTGTGGTGGGCTCCACCCAGTTCCAGCTTCCAGGCTGCTTTGTTTACCTAAGCAAGCCTGGGCAATGACGGGCGCCCCTCCCCCAGCCTCGCTGCCGCCTTGCAGTTTGATCTCAGACTGCTGTGCTAGCAATCAGCGAGACTCTGTGGGCATAGGACCCTCCGAGCCAGGTGTGAGATATAATCTCCTGGTGCGCGGTTTTTTAAGCCCGTCGGAAAAGCGCAGTATTCAGGTGGGAGTGACCCGATTTTCGGGAACTCCCTGACCCCTTGCGCTTCCCAGGTGAGGCAATGCCTCTCCCTGCTTTGGCTCGCGCACGGTGCGCACACCCACTGACCTGCACCCAGTGTCTGGCACTCCCTAGTGAGATGAACCCGGTACCTCAGATGGAAATGCAGATATCACCCGTCTTCTGTGTCGCTCACGCTGGGAGCTGTAGACCGGAGCTGTTCCTATTCGGCCATCTTGGCTCCCAAATCCCAGGTTATTTTTTATATTGACTATTTCATCTGTCAGCTTCTGTATCATTTTATTGTAATTCTTAGTTTCCCTGAATTGGGTTTTTGCCATTCTCCTGAATCTCAATGATCTTCATTTTTATCCATCTTCTGAATTTTATTTCTGTTATTTCAGCCACCTTAGCCTGGTTAAGAGCTCTTTTTGGAGAAGTGCTGTGATCATTTGGAGGACATACAACACTCTGTCTAGTTGAGTTACTGGAGTTCTTGTGTTGGTTCTTTCTTGTCTCTGCATGTGCGTGTTTCTTCAACTTCAGCGTAGATTGAGTAGAATCAATAGACTTCTTTTCTGGATGTTTTCACGGGGCCAAGCCTTTGTGCAGGGTCTTCATTTGAAGCTGGCTTCTTGTCTTTGGTTTCAGATGGGGGTATGTTAGCGAGGCATTTTTGGTGTTGAAGCTTTAGGGTGTGATCCAGTAGGTGGCATTTAGGTGTAGTGATCAGTTGGTATGCTGTTGCTCAGTTGTGTGCCTCCCCTATATTTCTTCAGAGTTGCAACCTTGCTCCCTCTCAATGCTCTGAAAGTGTAGGCTCCTCTCCCAGTTGAGTGCTGGCTTTAGATCACAGCTTGGCACTTCTGGGCTGCCTACCACAGCTCTGGGATGACCTCAGGGTTTATGTTTTCTCCCCAATTTGGAGGCAGCAGAGGAATGGACCTTAGCAGTAGCTGTGGCCAAGGGTCTTTTACTTGTCTCCTGAGGGCTCCACCTGAGAGAAATGCAGGCCAGCAATTGCTCAGTGCAATCAATCCAGGGTGGAGGGTCTGTGCTGTGGGCCCAAGCTTGGGATTTCCTGCCTGATGACAAGCAGGGAAGGGGTGGATGGGACCTATGGGAGATAGACTGGCTTCTTCTCCTTGGGTTGATGGCAGCTTGTTGGAGGTGTGGATAGGACAATACCCTTTGCTAGTCTGAGGGTTACAGGGTAGTACCACAGCAGAGGCAGTGGCAGAGGGGCATTTGGTTGCCCCTGGGGCTCCATCTCTGAGGAAAGCAGAGTTGCTATTACTGGGAGTGTTCAGCCAGTGGGGTGGGGCAGCTGCACTGCTGATGTGAGATTGGGGCTTACTTGTTAGAGAGTAGGGGGTCAAGGGCTAACCTCACTGGGAGGAGAGGAGACTGCTCTCCTCTTCATATGATGACTGTTGCATGCTGTAAGCTTAGGTGTGTCACTCAGGCTCTTTGTTTCTTCCCCAAACCAAGGGCAGCAGGAATAGAACTGCCTCCATGGCAGTGGCAGAGGGGCTGTTGGATGACTCTTGGAGCCTCTCCCCACAGAAACTCTGGGCCACTGCCAGTGGGTATGCTCTACAGTGAGTGAGGTGACTGTTCTGAAGTCATGAGCTGGGGACCCTGCCTGCTGAAGAGTAAGGGTGAGGGTTTCCAAGAAAGAGGAGTTGGACTCCTCTCTGTACGGTTACTGTGGTGTTCTGGAGGTGCCAGGGTAGTGACTAGACCCTTTGTTCTTTCCTCAGCCTGAGGGCTGTTAGGTCAGTACCAGTGCAACTGCAGTGTCAGGGGGATTGTGGGTTGATCTGGGATTTCTCCTCTGGGAAATGTTGGGCTGCCTCTGATTGAGGTGCTCAGGCGGGGTCAGGGTGGTTGTGCTGGAGTCCCAGGTTGGGTGGCCCTGTCCAGTGAGAAGAAGTGAAGACCAGGACCTGCATGGAGAATAGTCTGGCCACTTTTCTGTGAGATGGGTGCTCTGTGCTGGTGGTTTGGAACAGCCCATATTCCCTGCAGGCTCTCCAGAGCCTGGAAGACAGTAAGGGTGAGGGCTGTGAGACAGCAAAGATGGCAACCCAGTGCATTCTTTGGGAGCTCTGTCCCAGGTTGTTGCAGAGCTGATACTGGCTTGATAGCCCCATTGTGGGGTGGCTGGAGACTCAGCCCAGCAGACTCCACCCTGTGAGGAGATACAGGATCTGGGACCCAGATAACACAGTCTGGCCACTTTTTTTGGAGGGTTGCTGCAGTATGCTGGGGGGGTCGCTTCAGTCCCTAATCACCTAGGATTTTCCAGTACCTGAAGGTATCAACAGTGAAGCCTGGGAAACAGCAAAGTTGTCGGCCTTCCCCTTTCTCTGGGAGCTCCCTCCCAGGGAGGTACAGAGTTGTTTCCCTCCCTCCTGAACACACTGATGGGGGTACGTGGCAACCCAGGTTGGAAGGTTCCACTCAATGAGGAGGAATAGGATCAGAGGCCTGCATAAAAAAAACAGTCTGGCTGCTTTTTCATAGGGCAGCTGTGCTGTGTTGGGTGTCTGATCCAGCCCCTGTCACCTCAGATTCTCCAAATCCTGAAGGCAACAATGGCTAAGGTTGCAAAACAGCAAAGATGGTCACCAATCCCTCCCTCTGGGAGTCCCGTCCCAGGGAATTACTGACCTATTGTCGGCCTGAAAACACCTGCAGGGGTGGTTGCAGCCCTCAGTTGGAAGATTCCATTTAGTGAAGAGAAACAGGGTCTGAGACCCACATGGAAAAGTAGTGTGGCTGCCTCTTCGTAGAGTAGCTGTGCTGTTTTGAGTGATCTGTCTAGTCCCTGGTCACCTTAGATTCCCCAGAGTCTAAGGGCAACAATGTCTAAGGCTGCTAAACAACAAAGATGGCAGCCTGTCCCTTTCCCTGAAAGTCCCATCCCAGGGAGGTATGGACCTGCTGCCAGGGTCTGAAACCACCAGTACAGGTGTTTGTAGAACTCAGACGGTATATTCTACTCTGAAGGGAAACAGGATTTGGGACTCACATGAAAAAGCAGTCTGACAGCCCTTCATAGAGTAGCAGTGCTATGTTGGGTGATGGCTCCAGTCCCTAGTTGCCTTGTATTCCCCGGAGCTTGAGGGCAACAATGGCTAAGGCTATGAAACAGCAAAGATTGTGGTCCATCTCTGCCTCTGGCAACTCTGTCTTAGGGAGGTGTAATGCTGCTACCTGTGGCTGACTAGAGTTCCAAGCCCGTGGGTCTTATCCTGCAAGGTGCTGTGGAAGTGGGGCCTGCAGACCGTTGCTGCTGAGCCCTCTGGATTCAGCCCATTTTCTGGGGGGAGGGGGGTAATATATGGGTCTAACCTCCTACTTTGCTGGAGTTGCAGCTGCTTTTGCCAGGAAGCCCATGTATTTAAAGCTCCCAGGGATTTGAATGTGCCTGAGCGGCTGCTCTGCTAGGACACTTCATATCTCTGTATGTGAGATTGAAGGCCCTGGTGGATGGAGTTCACAAGGAAATCTCCTGACTTGAGGGTTGCAAAGATTCGTGGGAGAAATGCTGGTCCCCAGGGTCACTCACTCACTCACTCACCGCTTCCCTTATATGGGAGGCTTCCCTGGCTCCGTGTTGTTCCTGGGTGAGAGGTCGTTCTGCCTTGCTTTCTCTGTTCTCCATGGGTTGAGTTGTTTTCTTGATGAATCCCAATGCATGTACCTGAATGCTTCAGTTGAAAGTGCTGTATTTACTCACCCCTTCTATTTCTCTCCTTGAGAGAAGTGCACCTTAGCTGCTTCTAGTCGAATATCTTGCACTTTCTCCAAGATCCTGTTTTCAATTATTTTGGATATATACTCAGAAGTAGAATTGCTAGATTATGTGGTGATCCTATTTTTATTTTTTGAGGACCCTCCAAAATGGTTTCCATAGCAGTTGCAACATTTTACATTCCCACCAACAGTGTACAAGGGTTCCAATTTATCCCTATCCTCACAAACGTGAGGATTTTTTGATAGTGGCCATCCTAATAGGTGTGCAGTGATATCCCCTTTAGTTTCATTTTGCATTTCCCTGATGGTTAGTGATGTTGAGCATCTTTTCATATATTGTTGGTCATTTGTATATTATCTTGGGAGAAATGTCAAGTCCTTTGTCCATTTTTATACTGGATTATTTAATTTTCTTTGTTGAGTTGTAAGAGTTCTTGATACATTCTAGATATTAACCTCTTATCAGATATATGGATTTGCAAATACTTTCTCTCATTCCATAGGTTGCCTTTTTACTCTGTTGATTGTTTCCTTTGTTATGGAGAAGTTTTCAAGTTTGATATAGTCTCATTTGTGTAGTTCTGTGTTTGATGCCTGTACTTTTGGTGTTTTATTCAAGA
Source organism: Homo sapiens (assembly GCF_000001405.40). Lineage (NCBI taxonomy): Eukaryota > Metazoa > Chordata > Mammalia > Primates > Hominidae > Homo > Homo sapiens. Next base: position 34,411,049 of record NC_000023.11, on the reverse strand, counting down.
AAACATTGCCAAGTTCAGAGTCATAAAGCCTTTTCCATGTTTATTTGTAACAGTTTTATAGTTTTGGCCCTTACATTTGGCTTGTTAATCCATTTTGAGTTAATTTCTATATATGGTAAAAGGTAAGAGTCACAGTTCATTATTCTTCATGTGGATGTCCAGTTTTTCCAGGATCATTTGTTGAAGAAATTTTGCTTTTTCCATTGTGTACTAGGCACCTTTGCCAAGGATAATTTGACCATATACATGACAGTTTATTCTTGAACTCTATTCTGTGCTTTGGTCTATATCTCTGTCTTTATGCCAGTTCCATTGTGTTTTGATTACAGTAGCTTTGTAATATGTTTTGAAATTTGGATGTATGAGGCCTCCAGTTTGTTTTTCTTTCTCAAGATAATTTTGGCTATTTGGGATTCAATGAGAATTCATATACATTTTAGAATTTCTTTTCTATTTTTGCAAAAAATGCCATTGGGATTTTGATAAGAATCCCATTGAATCTGTAGGTCTCTTTGGGTAGTAAGGACATTTTGACAATATTAAGTCTTCCAATTCATAAGAAATCTGTTTCCATGTATTTATATATTCCTTAGTTTATTTCATCACTGTTTTACAGTGTTCAGCTTATCAGCCTTTCTACCTCTTCAGTAAAGTTTATACTAAGTATTTTATTCTATTTGATGCTACTGTAAATGGGAATTTTTAAAATTTCCTTTTCATATTATTACTTGTCAACATATAGAAATGCAAGTGATTTTTGTGTGTTGATTTTGTATCCTGCAGCTTTATTTAATTTATTTATTAGTTCTACTTTTTTGTGAAATCTTTAGGGTTTTTTACATATAAGATCATGTTATGTTATCAAAGCTGTGGGCTTTTCACATTTGGCCTTCATTATATTTAGAAAATTCCCTTCTATTCCTATTTTGTTAGCTCTTTTTATCATGAAAGTGTGTTGAAATTTGTCAAATATTTTTCAGGATCATTTAAGGTGATTGTGTGGCTTTTGTTCTTCCTTCTATTAATTTGGCATATTGCATTGATTGACTTTGTATATTCAATTACCCTTGCATCCCAGGAATAAACCCCACCTGATCATTGATCTATTTTTACTTGTAATACTTCTCTCACCAAATGTGTGGGGTTTTTTCCCCCAGAGCAAACAATTTTCCAACTCTTTGGTTATCAACTTGGTGTCTGTATTAGTCCATTCTCGCATTGCTGTAAAGAATTACCTGAGACTGGGTAATTTATAAAGAAAAGAGGTTTAATTGACACACAGTCCTGCAGATTGTATAGGAAGCATGGCTGGGGAGGGATCAGGAAACACAATCATGGCAGAAGGTGAAGGGAAAGCAGGCACATCTTACATGGTCGGAGAAGAAGGAAGAGAGAGAATGGGGAAGTGCTACACACTTTTAAGCAACCGGATCTAGTGAAAACTCACTCACTTTCATGAGAACTGCAAGGGAGGAATCTGCCCCCATGAGCCAGTCACCTCCCACCAGGCCCCTCCTCCAACACTGGGTATTACAATTTGACATGAGATTTGGGCAGGGACACAAATCCAAACCATATCTGTGTCCTACAATTCCATTTAATTCTAACACACTACCTGGAGTTAGCATAAACTCCACAAGTTTATGAGCTTAGTTTCACAACACTGCTCCCACTGAAGATGCCAACTGCGAGTCCTGGCCACCTGTATTTTTGAACTGGCTATGAAGTTGTGATGGGGGTTTCCACAATCCCATCCTCACGTTAAACAATTTGCTAGAGTGGCTCACAGAACTCAGGAAAGTGTTTTTACTTACTATTTCCAGTTTATTATAAAAGATACAACTTAAGAACACCAAATGGAAGAGATGCATAGGACAAAGTATCAGAGAGGAGGGTTACACAGAGCTTCCACACCCTCTCTGCATATGCCACCCTCTCAACATCTTAATGTACACCAACCGGGAAGCTCTCTCAACATTGTCATTTTATAGAGTTTCCATTAGGTAGGCATGAGTGATTAAATCACTGGCCATTTGTAGTTAACTCAATCTCCAATCCTCTCTTCTGAGACGATCACACAGTGGGGCTTAAAGTTTCAACCCTTTAATTATGCCTTGGTCTTTCTTGTGACCAGCACTCACCCTGAAGCTAACTAGGGGCTCCTAGCCACTAATCATCTTACTAGCATACGTAAGTCAGTCTTTTATTTGTTTTTTGTTTGTTTGCTTTTTGAGATGGAGTTTCGCTCTTGTTGCCCAGGCTGGAGCGCAATGGCATAATCTCAGCTCACTGCAGCCTCTGCCTCCCAGATTCAAGCAATTCTCCTGCTTCAGCCTCCTGAGTAGTTGGGATTACAGGCATGCATCACCACACCCAGCTAGTTTTTGTATTTTGTATTTTTTTTTTTTTTTTGAGACAGAGTCTTGCTCTGTCGCCCAGGCTGGAGTGCAGTGGCACGACCCCGGCTCCCTGCAAGCTCCGCCTCCCAGGTTCACGCCATTCTCCTGCCTCAGCCTCCCGAGTAGCTGGGACTACAGGCACCCACCACCACGCCTGTCTAATTTTTTGTATTTTTAGTAGAGACGGGGTTTCACCATGTTAGCCAGGATGGTCTCGCTCTCCTGACCTCGTGATCTGCCCATCTCAGCCTCCCAAAGTGCTGGGATTATGGGGTTCCACTATGTTGGTCAGACTGGTTTCGAACTCCTGACCTCAGGTGATCCACCCACCTGGGCCTCCCAAAATGCTGGGATGCTGGGATTACAGGCGTGAGCCACCGCACTCAGCCAGTCACTCATTACTATGGAGATTACAAGGATTTTTTTAGGAGCTGTGTGCCAGGAAGTGGGAACAAAGATTAAATATATATTGATCACAGTCATGGTATATAATCCTTTTAATGTGTTGTTGGATTTAGTTCATTAAATGGATTGCAGCTCATCTTTGCAGGTTCCAGGTTATCCTTATGTCTCCATTTCAAACCATCTCTCCTTCCTGACTGCTGGCCCTGCTAACTTCTGTGTCAGCACCACACGCTGGGGCAATGGACTTACATAAACTGTTTAACAAATCCCCACTATCATACCAGCTCTAATTTCTAAAATATATTCCTATTGTGGTTCTACTTCTCTGATCAAACCCTAAGATGGAGATTATATACTATCATTAGTCTAATTGAAAAAAAGAGGGAAAGACAAAATATAAGATGTGGGAACGAGAGAGGAAACAAAAAATATAGGAGTAAATACATTGATTTTAGCATAATGTGTTGAACATAAATACACTATAAAAATCCAAACCCCTGGATGAAATGGATCATTTTCTAGTAAAATATATATTATCAGAATTCATTCAAGAAGAGAGTGAAAAACAAAAAAAAGAACCATATTTGTTAGAGGACCTATATTGCTACCTTTCATGATTCGCCCACATGTCCATCTGGTTTGGTTTGGGGGGATCCCACCTCCATATTTTAATGTTGCACATGTGACTAAGACCTGGCACATTAGTGTTTCTTACCCTTCAGGTTTGAAAAGAAATTCCAAACTAAGTCAGTATTTTGGATGAAGGCTCTCTCTTTCAGTATGTTCAGTGAATTGTTAATGTATAAAAGTAGAGTGGATATTAGTCATTTATCATTCTCATCCTTTGGATAACGACTTAAAAAGAAAAACAACCTTCAGAGAGGAAAACATCTAAGTCAAAGAAAACACTTTCTATTCACTTTTGTATTCACACACCTGCATCTGAAGCTATCAGCACTGCCCCCAAACTTTGGAGTATTATGAGTCACTAAATTCATTTTGATTTTTAAATAATTTGTAAAGAGTTCGCTAAAATTATAATTTCTGAATAATAAACCTTTTGATTAATACAATTATCATAGTAACAAGTGCCTAAGATTTAAATAAGTGACTTTTGTCATAAAAATGAAGTGATGGGTATATCCTTTTTCAAGTTTAAAAACTCTGAAAGTCAGCCGGTCATGTTGGGTCACACCTGTAATCCCAGCACTTTGGGAGGCCAAAGCAGGTAGATTGCTTGAGCCCAGGTGTTTGAGACCAGCCTGGGAAACATGACGGTAACCTGTCTCTACAAAAAATAAAGAAATTAGCACAGTGTGATGGTGTGCACCTGTAGTCCCAGCTACATGAGATTGTTTGAGCTCATGAGGTCCTGGCTGCAGTGAGCTGTGATCACTCTACTGCACTCCAGCCTGGGTGATAGAGTGAGATCCTGTCTCAATAAATAAGTAAATAAATAAATAAATAAATAAATAAATAAATAAAAGAAAAGAAAAAAATGAAAAAATGAAACCTCTGAAACTCCCTATTGCTGAATTATAAAATTAATTTATATTGGATTTTTAAAAAATACAAAAAAAGTAGGCACTGGTTCAAGATGTTTGTTGGCTGGTCATACACAGCCATTACCTTTGCCTCTGAAGATAAATAATTCTGAAATTTGAAAGAAAAAGAAACCCCTCCTAAAATATACAAGGAAAGGGCTACAGCTTCGGCGATGTATATCTGCCCAAAAGAAGGTCTGAATAGCTCAGGATGTCAAGAGGGAGAAGTAGACTGAAAGTCTATGTGTAACAGAGTCACTCACTTAACCTTTATAGCTTTTCTCTCAAGCAAAATTCCTGACAGAATGACATTTAACTATTCATTTACCAATGCTTATTTTTAAAGGGTTGTTTTTTTTTTTTTTTTTTTTTTTAGAAATGAAAACACTATCTCCAGGTAGAACTACAATGCTTAGGGTGGTTGTTAGGTCCTCAGAACAAAACCTCATTCTTTCAACATTTGTAGATATTCAGAGTAGTGGCAGATCTCCACTATTTTCATAGGAAAAGTAAGCATTTCAGAAGCCAAACTCTAACCACATAATCAGAGCTCATGGTTCTCATCCTTGACTGTGAATACAAAACAAAACATTGTTAGATGTCAAGAAGAATGTAACTTCATAGAAAGCAAAGATTTTGTATTTTTCACTACATTATTGTTGCACTCAGAATACTGGCCTGCCCAGAGTAGGTGCTCCATAAGTGTTTACTGAAATATTTGAGAGAGGTGTGACACAAAAGAGAATAAGATAAATATTTTAAAAACCCAGTGAAACAAATCCTGGGAGAAACAAGCATATTCAGGAAATAGAAAAGAGCTAGAAAATTCATATTAGAAAAATATGATAAAACATTATATCCATAACAAGTTAAAATGATACTGTATGAAAAGTAATTCTTTTTTTTCCAAGATTGCAGATTACAGACATTGCTAGCATACCTCTCCCACTTGAAAGGACAAAATGGTGTGTATTTCCTTATGCTTCCCAGGGGTGGGGTTCACACTATGAACATTTTTTCAAGAAGAAATGCAGGAACTGAACAGGAAAACCAAAGGCATTTACAGACCCTTTGAAGGAAACAGCAGCCTGCTGCCTACACTGTGAATCAGAGGGGCTACAAGTAGTCAGGGTGTGTGAGAGGGGGTGAAACTGCCTCCGGGATATACATTCTCACTGGAGATCCTACAATTCCAGGCCGTGGAAGAAGGCACGAACCCTACCCAGCACAGGAACTGACTTGAGTAGGGTCATGGAATATAAAAGTAGGAGCAGCAGCGCGAAGACCCTTGCGTGCACTACCAATCTCTAGCGTGGACTGAGGGAAACCGTTCCTTATTGTTCCTCACAGTTGACCTTGCGGAGTTCAGCCAAATAAATAGTTCAGGCTGTGGTTGCAGGTTGAAAGAAGCCTTCAACCGGGTTTCATGATATAACCTTTGGTGGAGATAATGGGGGTGGTGAGCAAAAAGTGGGCTGCAGCCACGAGTGCAGGAGCCAGGCACCTAGCTTTGCAGGGCAGACAGGGAGGGGCATGGCCTGAATGCCACAGTTGCTATTTCCACATGTATAGCTTATGACCTGGGACAGTTGCAAGTTTTGAGTGCAGACTGACCTGAAACTTAGCTCATTGCTGCCAGTGGAACACTGCAGAAGTAGATATGCCTCACGTAGTGTGTGGGATCTGTGAGGGACTTACCTCCTCCTGCTACTCCCCACTCCCTGCATGAACTCTTCTGTGCAGCAGAGGGAGAAACACTCCCCTCTGGACATCATCCAAGTGGCCTGGGAACTGCTTCCATTTCCCAAACACCCGCAAGGGCTGGTGCTTGTTCTGAACACAGAGGGTCAGAGTGCAAACCCGCCTGACCCAGCCCTCACCTGACTTTGCCCTGACGTTTGCCCTGGTAGCTTAACACAAAGGAACTTTGGGGAGTGATATGGTCCTGCCAATTGCCTAATAAACCAGAGTACCCCACCCCTGGGAAGCACAAGGCAAGAAAAACCCCACTACTAATAGCACAGCTGGTGCTCTTTTGTAAGTGTCACCTCCTGGCTGAAGATCAACCAACACAGTCCATTACAGCATCTTCTGGTGGAATAACACTGCACACAGGCAGGAGAAAACAACTGCGTGACCTCAGCTATCACAACTGCTTACACAACTCTGGCTAACCAGGAGGTCCTGAGTCCGTCCACATGACTATTTCATTGTTGCTATAACTGGTGTTTGAAAAAGCCAACACTCTAAGGCTGTGTATAACCACTGGGAGGCTATTCACCACTGGGAGACATGAGGAAAGCTCACATCACCGGATCCCTTACAGACATTCCTCAGCATCAATCTGGAGTGGGGCAACTTCACTAGATAGCTAGACCCAGAGGAGCCACAAAATTCACAGTAGTCTGGTTCCCAGGGACTCCCACTCCCAGGGTAAGGGGTAGTGCACCACATCAAGGGAACACCCCACTGGGACAAAAAATAATTAGATGGAAAGCCTTGAGCACCAGATCTTTCCACTGGTGGGAAATATATTTCAGCAGAGGCACTGTTGCAGTGATGAACAATCAGACAGCCCTGGTGCACGTGAAGGGTCTTGGAGAAGGGATGTCTTTCCCCACTCTTTCATCAACAACACAGGCAGAGTTGCGGCTTGTATTAATCTGCTTTCATGTTTCTGATAAAGACATACCTGGATAATTTATAAAGAAAAGATGTTTAATTGACTCACCATTCCACATGGCTGGGGAGACCTCACAATCATGGTGGAAGCCAAGGAGGAGCAAGTCACATCTTATATGATGGCATGGAACAGAGAACTTGTTCAGGGGAACTCCTCTTTATAAAACCATCAGATCTCATGAGACTTATTCACTATCACGAGAACAGCATGGGAAATGCCCACCCCCGTGATTCAATTACCTCCCACTGGGTCCCTCCCGTGACACTTGGGAATTGTGAGAGCTGTAATTCAAGATGGGATTTGAGTGGGGACACAGCCAAACCATATCAGGGCTTCTCCCACAGGAGCTCAGCATGGCTACAGCTATTAACAACCTTTCTGGAGAACTTCTGGGTAACTGCATCTCCTCAAGAGGAGCATCCTCCACGTTCAGGTTTGCACAAGAGACAGAGTCATAATTTCTCTCTGCTTGGAACATTAACTTTTCTACAGATGAAAAATGGTGCCCGTCAGATCTACATAGCCAGACCACTGGGACAGCAATATGTCTGAGAGGTGAATAGCTTTCCTGCTGACTTGGCAGGGGAGCTGAGGTGGCTCCAACCCTTCCCTCTGATGAGAACTCAGAGAGACTCACTGAGAGCTCCCCCAGCCACTTCTATCAATGCTGTTACCTTTGCCCACCACTGGCTATTGAATTTACCCATCTACTTTACCCACAACCTGTTCCTACCCAGGGACACCTCCCCTACTGACCTAATGCCTGAACCATCAAAGCAGTAAGTAAAATGCTGAAAAAAAAATAAATTTAAAAAGTACATGCCACAAGGGAATGAGATAACCTTCAGGAGACCTCTACCATTCCAACCCCGTAGGAGAAAGTGAACTTGCTCACACAGCAAGCACATTGCTACTACAACCAGCATGTGAGAAAGCTATCATACAAAGATGCTCTATAACCTAGGAATTCTTACTCAGTATTCACTCATGAAAGCACCAAGAATTGAATTAGGGTATAATTAACTATAAGCATTAAAGTCACATCCTTAAGGGGAAAAATTTTTTTAAAGTCAAATCAAACATAAATTTAAGAATAATTAGAAGAAATACTCTACCCAAATGAGGAGGAACCAGAAAAGTGACACTAGTAATATGAAAAATCATGGTTCTATAACACCCCCAAAATATCATACTACCTCTCCAGTTAATGGAATCCAACCAAGATAAAGTCATTGAAACACAAGAAAAAGAATTCAGAAGGTTGATTGTTAAGCTCCTCAAGGAGACAACCAAAGAAAGTTGAAAACCATCATGAAAGAGACTGATAAATGATCCAATAAATAAATACAAACAACTCTGAATATAGTGTTTTCCTTAATAAGTAAGAAATAAATAATGGTCAAAGAACAAATAATTCTCAAATCATAAAAATTACAACTGAGATTTTTGGGAAAAAATTCAAATTTATTTTACAGAAAGAAGAAAATTCTGACATTAGCACCTAATACATTAATTAAAACTGGAGGCCAATTTGAAACTGTAGAAAAACAAACCCAAACAAGGTTTATTCTACTAATTCAGGAGCAACAAAAATAATACTGCTAATAATTTAATCAGCCATAATACATTCCCAACAGTCATTTTTGCAAAATTTAACATCAGTTTCCAGTCTTAAGCTGTAAATGACTGACATCTTTTTTCCTTTGGAATATATAATTTTTTACAAATTACATAATTTGTTTTAGATACGGGGGTACATGTGTAGGTTTGTCACAGGGCATATTGCCCCCTTCCTAATAATTAATTTATCAACCCATGCTTTACTCCTCTCTCTCCCTCCTGCTTCTAGTAGTCCACAGTACCTACTCTTCCCATATTTATGTCCGTGTGTGCTCAATGTTCAGCTCCCACTTATAAGTGAAAACGTGGGGTATTTGGATTTCTGTTCCTGCATTAGTTCACTTAAGATTATGACATCCAGCTCCATTCATGTTGCTGCAAAGGACATGATTTCATTTTTTATCGCTCTGTAGTATCCCATGGTACGTGTACCACATTTTCTTTATCCAGTCCACCATGGACGAACACCAAGGTTGATTCCATGTCTTTGCTATTGTGAATACTGCTGTGATGAACATATGAGTGCATATGTGGTTTTTTTTTTGGCATAATGATCTAGTTTCCTTTGGATATATGCCTAGTAATGGGATTGCTGGGTTGAACAGTAGCTCTGTTTTAAATTCTTTGAGAAATCACCAAACTGCTTTCCACAGTGACTGAACTAGTTTACATCCCCAGCAATTGTATATAAGCATTCCCTTTTCTCTGTAGCCTCACCAGCATCTGTTGTTTTTTGACTTTTTAGTAATAGTCATTCTGACTAGTGTGCAATGGTATCTCATTGTGGTTTTGATTTGCTTCTGTTGGCTGCTTGTATGTCCTCTTGAGAAGCGTTTTTTCATGTTCTTTGACCATTTTTCAATGCAGTTCTTTGTTTTTGCTTGTTGGTTTAAGTTCCCTATAGATTCTAGATCTCAGACCTTAGTTGGATTCATAGTTTGCAAATGTTTTCTCTGATTCTGTAGGTTATCTGTTTACTCTGTTGATACTGTCTTCTGCTGTGCAGAAGTTCTTTAGTTTAACTAGGTCCCACTTGTCAATTTTTGTTTTTATTGCCGTTGCTTTTGGGGACTTAGCCAAAAATTCTTTGCCAAGGCCAGTGTTGAGAAGGGCATTTCCTAGGTTTTCTTCTAGGATTTTTATAGTTTGAGGTCTTACATTTAAATCTTTAATCTATCTTGAGTTAATTTTTGTGTATGATAAGAGGTATAAGAATCAAGTTTCATTTTTCTGCGTATGGCTAGACAGCTATCACAGCACCATATACTGAATAGGAAGTCCTTTCCCCATTGCTTGTTTTTGTTGGCCTCATCGAAGACAAGGTGGTTGTATGTATTTGGCTTTATTTCTGAGTTTTCTGTTCTGTTTTGTTGGTCTATGTGTTTGTTTTTGTGTCTGCACCATGCCATTTTGGTTATTGTAGCTTTAAAGCCCGATAGTGTGATGCTCCTGGCTTTGTTCTTTTTGCTTAGGATTGCTATTAGTGCCCTTTTTTTGGTTCTATATACATTTTAGAATCTTTTTTTTTCTAGTTCTGTGAAGAATGATGTTGGTAGGTTGATTGGAATAGCCTAGAATCTATAAATTGCTTTGAGCGATATTGATTCTTTCAGTCCATAAGCATAGAATGATTTTCCATTTATTTCTGTAATTTCTGATATCTTTCTATAGTAACACTTTTTTTAACATAATGGAGAGTATCTTCTTTAAACAAATTAGCAATTTTACATTTAATATTAGAACATTGGTAGAATTACTATTTAATTAGAAGCATTAAGAGGGTGCTAGATATGAGTCTCAATACTATACCATGTTAACTAGGGAATTTCTACCTGAGAATCAATACATACATTTCAGAAGGATTAAAGAGTTAAATAAAAATATTATATAAATTTTAAAAATTAAATTTTTATCTAATTCCTAAATTAGATAAAATATTCATTTATTTATCAAATTTCTAAATGATGAATTACCTTTTATGTCTATTTTATGTATATAAGCAAGAGAAGAAATAGTCATGAAAAAATAATAGATTTAACATTGTGTTGTATTACTCACAGGAAATTAACAGAATTATAAAATTATAAAGGCAGATAACAAACTACAACACACAAGCAAGCTTTTTGACAAGGTAATAACAATATCTATATATTATATTTTGAGTGTAGATATAAAATACATAAGTATAGATACATATTTAAAATTGATATGATTTATTACAAAATAAGAAAAAAACTATCACGCCATTTTAAAAGATGGCAAGTAACAACCAGGAAATTGACCAGTTTCAATTGTGATTTGACAAATTTAGCCTCACTACAAATCAAATAAATTAAAATTAAAGCAATAAATATTTTGTCTATTATTTTGATAAATATTTCTTTTTGGAGTAGTTGAAAATTGCTTTTTAAAATTTTATTTTGTTTATAATTAATTGTGAATTTTATTGGGTGACGTGGGATATTTTGATACATGTGTGCTATTGCCTTTGTTGTTTGCTGTGATATAAAAGACAACATTGGTAATAACATACTGCTTGGAAAACCTTGAAAATTGTTGGAGTGAAAGTAAATTGTTAATTTCTTTTGACATTCTGGCCTGTATATCAAAAGCCTTGAAACAGTTGATAGCTTTTTACTTGGTAATATTTACAACTGTAAATTTCTTTTCAGAGAATATATGTACATATCCACAAGGATTTCTTCAGTGGTGTGTAAGACAGCAAAAATAAATAAACATTAAATGTTCAACTGTATTCTAATTTCTAATAAATGGGATTTATAGCCATATAGCAGAATTCTAGGCATTTATTTAAAATCATGTTTCCAATAGAGTGTTTTAATTTTTTAAAAGATATTTAACTATTTTTAAGCTAAAGAAATTTCTTTCAGTGGACTCTTGACGTCCTCTTCTTCTGAAAGTATTCTATTTTGGGAGGCTTATGTTACATTATTGAGCTTTTCTCTCTCCTCTTTTGTTTCCTATCTTGGTTATCTTTTCTCTTTCCTTTCCCTCTGTCTACCTTGTAATTGCTCCTGTTCCAAGGGATTGTATCCATTTTCCTCCTCTATTACCACTGAACATACTTGTACAGGCAATATTTTCTACTTCTTTGATTTCAATTAGCATCTTTATTCTAATTTTATAAGCATACTTGATGTTTCCTCATAGCTAGATAGACATTGACACTCAACCTGATTCTGAATCTCCAATCTCAGAGATCCCAGCTGAATTAACATCTCTGTCTCTACTGTGACAAACCAAGTGTGCTCAATTTGTTATGATAGTGGAGCCTCCCACAATCCATACAGTCACCTAAATCATACATTTGGGGTTATCTTTAAATCATCCAAGCAGTCACCAAATTTGCTTGACCCTGCTTCTTTATTATTTCTTAAATCTGTTTCCATACAATACACATCCCAACTACCACAGCCTTATTTCAAGACTTTATATATTTTTCATCTAATTAATGCCACCACTCCATAAGTGGGACAATTAACTTGGCTACAATCTATTTTTCACACCTCTGCTCTAGTATGGTAATTGCAAAAATCGAATCTTTTTATTCCTATTACTAAAATCACATGGGCTATGCATTGTGTAGAAGATCTAATTCAGCCCTTTAGCATGATAGACAAGGCCACTTATTACCTCTGTGGCCTCATCTCTTCATCTTTTGCTAAAGTATTCAGACCTCTTCCTCTCCTACCCCAGACTATGATGATTGAGTCAAAGTGTTTTGTTTACTGCTCCCTGAATATGCATCTCTACTGTGGCGTGCATTGTTCACTTGGTTTAGAATAAAATTCATGTCCTCATTCCATTACCTAGTTGCTACTAGTCCTATAAGATACATTTCAGGTATCATCTAAATTTAGGGAGATTTGACCTTTTATTACTGTGAACCACTCTTTCAACATCATTCCATTACACGGTGTGTCTGAATCTCTATCAGGGCATCTATCACACAGAGGGTCATTATATGTTTATTCACTTCCTTCGTTAAAATTCAACCCATTTCTTCATGATAAACACTCCAGTTCCTAACTCCATCCCTAGCATCCAGCAGCTGGCCTGCCATATTCTCAGTAAGGATTATAAGTGTTGAATGCAGGAACTACTAGTTTGGAATCAATTTGGCAGATATTTTAACTTAACAGGCAAGAGATACCATGCAAATATGTTAACTAAGTAAGAGAAGTATAGGCTGAAGTAGATCAAATCCAGAATGCTAGGTAATAATATGAAACTGAATTTTCTTTAGAGAGTAAAGGGTAAAAATAAGTATATATGCTGACATCAGCCAAACATTCTGAAACAGAACCAAAAAGTTTCTACGGAAGAATTTTTACTCATTTGACATGTAATAATTGAATATATACTGTATGCAATAAGCTGGGCTAGTCTTTAGAATTGTAGTATTCGTTACAACAACAAAAGAGTGTTTTGGAACTTTTATTTTGAGGTCAGAGTGGCAAAAGAAACAAGCACAAGATAAATAATAAATCTACTTTAGGTAGTCACAAGTGCTACTAAAAAAAGAAATACATTATCCTAATAGATGACAACAAGGACAGGGGTTGGTTGCTTCTTCATGACTAGTGATGTCAGAATGGAAAACCCAAAACTCACAGTTGGCTGATGAATAGTCTCAGTCCTGGAAGAATGATGGATGAGGGAAAAATGAATTTTCTGCAAATGCTGTCCAAGCATCCAAAGATTTTGAAGTGATGTTAAAGACACTGTTTAATGACTAAAAAGGGAGTCTCAAGTGTCACACAAAAGAGATTCTCTTATTGTTCCATGATGAAAAGGTCTGAGATAAGAAAGAACTTTCAAATCTTAAATGAAGTGACAGAAAAACAATACAAGTCAGATTTCCATTCAAAGACTCAAACCAGAAAACTTCTCATGGAAGGGATACAAACACTGCCCTCTCATACATTGGAAACATGTAAAATGCTTGGTTACTTATTTTAAAGAATATTTTGAAGATAAAGATACAGAAGAAATAAAAGGAAATTTATATAAGGTAACATTACTCAAGAGAGACATCTCATTTCTTTGTAAAACTGCAAGTATGTACAGGGCTAATAATGTTCATATTGGTAGGCAGTCAAGTTTTACAGCAACTATGGCAAAATCTCTATATTTATTTTTTTTGTGGAAGATGTAGGACATACTTTTTTTTTAATCATGGTTAGCCAAAAAGAATGTATTTTACATTGCTATCAAACACCCTATCCATGATCTATAATTTCTTTCAGAAAGAATTTATTAATCAGATAAGGTTTAGTATTTTGTAATTAGGTCAACATAAATAAATATAAATTTAAAAATAATAAATGAATAAATAAAATTAAAAAAATAAAATATAAGAAAATTCTTAAGAAGGAAATAGGCTTAAAATTACTAGTAGAATCAATGCTATAGATTTAAACTGATAGATTTTAACATAATAAACAAAGATTAGATGGTGCTTGAAGATTCAGGTACAAATATTCTCTACTTTTTGTATTTAGAAGGGTAGATATGATTTGGGGGTCATTATAATACTCAACAATTGCTTTAAAGCAAAATATAGCAGGCTCCATAATTTGAAAGCCAGGGTATTCAATCAGAATTTTGATACGAGTAGCATACACTGATAAGGTTGGATAGGTTTATGTGAAGTAAGGTCAGAGAGAGGAGATATTAGTGAATGTTTACATGGGAAGGACATTGTCTACTTGGACCTTCAACATTAGGAATTAGGAACGGATTCTATTCTAGTGGAAAATAATTCTCAAAGTTCAAGAATTTAGGCTGGATGTGGTGGCTCAGGCCTGTAATCCCAGCACTTTGGCAGGCCAACACAAGCGGATCCAGGAATTCCAGACCAGCCTGGTCAACATGGCGAAACCCATTCTCTACAAAAAAAAAAAAAAAAAAAAAAAAAAGAAAAGAAAAAGAAAAAGGAAAGAAAGAATGAACAAATGAAAAGAGTGAATGAAAAAAATTAAGTCAAAAGTCAAGAACTGCATTTTCTGCAGTACCATCACAATAATAAGGTCAGAGTACACCTAGAACCAAGACATTGAGCCATTTACTTGACTAGGACTCAAATTTACTCTTTGCCTAGACACAGGAAAGATCCTAGGTGAGAAGTTGTATTAGTCTTCTATTCTCGCATATGGAATTATCACAAACTTAATGGCTTAAAACAACATCTCTTTATTAATTTACAGTGTTATAGGTCAGAATACTGGCAAGGTTTTACTAGATCTCTCTTCAAGGTCTTATAGGCCTGAAATCGGTGGTATTCTCATCTAGGGGACTAAGGAAGAACCCACTTCCAAGCTCATTTAGGTAGTTAGTAGAATTCAGTTCCTTGTGACTATAGAACTGAGGTCACTGTTTTCTTGCTGGCTGTTGGCCGAGGTTTACCCTCAGCTCTTAGAGGCCATTAGCAAGTCCTTGCTATGTGGCTCCCACCACCTTCAAAGGCAGCAATGGAGATTCTCATTTTGAATCTCCCTTACCTTTCAAGTCTTTTTAAAAAAGATTTCTCTGGCCGGGCGCGGTGGCTCACGCCTGTAATCCCAGCACTTTGGGAGGCCGAGGCGGGCGGATCACGAGGTCAGGAGATCGAGACCATCCTGGCTAACATGGTGAAACCCCGTCTCTACTAAAAATACAAAAAAATTAGCCAGGCATGGTAGCGGGTGCCTGTAGTCCCAGCTACTCGGGAGGCTGAGGCAGGAGAATGGCGTGAACCTGGGAGGCGGAGCTTGCAGTGAGCCCAGATCGCACCACTGCACTCCAGCCTGGGTGAGAGCGAGACTCCGTCTCCAAAAAAAAAAAAAAAAGGTTTCTCTTAAAAAGTAAATATTCGGGGGGGTGATGTGATGAGTATGGATTCACATGCTATTGTAAGAAATAATACAGAGAAATTCTGTTCATAGTTTAGTTTTCCCAAATGTTAAAATCTGGCAAAGCTATAGTACAGTATTACAAGCAGGGTATTGATATTGATACAGTTTTTGAGAAATTGATCCATTTATTCTAAGTCATTGAATTTATGAGTGTAAATTTTTTTGCAATATTTGTTTATAGTCGTTTAAATGGCTGCAGGATCTTTAGTGATATTCTCATTTTCAACCCTGATATTGGGTGTGTGTGTGTGTGTGTGTGTGTGTGTGTGTGTCGGTGTTTCATTTTGCCAGCTTTGTTAGAGGCTTTTAAATTTTGTCCAAATTTTTCAAAGAAACAGCTTTGTGTTTCATTTCTCTATTGTTTTTCTGTTTTAGATATGAATAATTTCTTGTCTGTATTATTTATTTCCTTATGTTTGCTTTTTGTTTATTTTGCTCAACTTATTCTAATTTTTTGAGGAAAAAACTTAGATTATTGATTTGGAACCTTTTATTTTTCAATCTAAACATATCATGCTATGAATTTTCCTTTCATTGTTGCTTTAGTTGCATTAACATTTATCATAATACTTTCGAGTTTCGTTATCATTCAGTGGTGTGTAATTTTTATTTTACTTTGGGATCATTTCCTTTTCCTAGAGATTATTTGGATGTATGTTTATTAATCTCTATGTTTAGAAAATTTCTTGTTTTCATTCTGATACTGATTTCTAGTTAGATTTTATTATGAGCAGGCAACATTCTCTGTATGATTTCAATTATCTTAAGCTTGAAAAGGTATGTTTAATGATTGAAAATATATTCTATCTGGGTGAATATTTCATGGATTCTGGAAAAATGTGTATTCTGCTGTTGTTTGTTCAATTGTTCTATATATGCCAATGAGATTGTAGTGTTAAAGTACCAGGTGGGCTTTAGTTGTGCGTAGTTGGTGCTTTTTCTGAGAGGCAGGATACCACTCAGTCATTTCCACCTTCTCATAGGCTCCTCCTCCCCCTTAGGTCTCAGGTGGTCCTGCAGCTCTTCAGCTACTGGTGAGTCCTAGGCTGAGACAGGTCTCTAGCTCAGTGCCTGATAGAAGCTGTTGCCTGTTGCCTAGGCGTCCATTATCTTCCCCATTGCTACCAAGGTGACACTGTACTCAGGTTAGGTTTTTTTTTTTTTTTTTTTTTGATGGAGTCTCGCTCTGTCGCATAGGCTGGTGTGCAGTAGCACGATCTCGGCTCACGGCAACCTCCACCTCCTGGGTTCAAGCGATTCTCCTGCCTCTGTCTCCCAAGTAGCTGAGACTACAGGTGCGTGCCACAACGCCCCGCTAATTTTTGTATTTTTAGTAGAGACGGGGTTTCACTATGTTGGCCAGGCTGGTCTCGAATTCCTGACCTCAGGTGATCTGCCCATCTCGGCCTCCCGAAGTGCTGGGCTTAGAGGCATGAGCCACTGCGCCCTGCCTCAGGTTAGATTTTATTTTATGCAAAAGTAGCAAATATTGCTGAGAGTTTATGCAGTTCCAGGAACTGTTCTTCACCTCCTTCTACCCACTTGAGCCTATTCTCAGGCTTCCAAAGGGCTTTTTCAGGCTCTAATGTGCTCCAGTTATTTGTAATCTACATTGCAGAACTCGAAAGCAGCTAGTTCCATTACATAGCCTGACTTTTCCAAATTGCCATGCCAAGTCATCCTAGTTACAGGCAGTAATTCACATTTCAGGTGCCCAGGGACTTCTCATGGATGGATCCCTTGAATCATAGAAGATCACTATGAAAGCCCACACTTTTTGATAATTCACCAGAGCCGGAGCTGAATCTCTTCAGTGGAGTCCTTTCACTTTAAACTCTTTTTTTTTTTCTTTTTTTTTTTTATTATACTTTAAGTTTTAGGGTACATGTGCACATTGTGCAGGTTAGTTACATATGTATACATGTGCCATGCTGGTGCGCTGCACCCACTAACTCGTCATCTAGCATTAGGTATATATCCCAATGCTATCCCTCCCCCCTCCCCCCACCCCACCACAGTCCCCAGAGTGTGATATTCCCCTTCCTGTGTCCATGTGATCTCATTGTTCAGTTCCCACCTATGAGTGAGAATAAATCATGCTGCTATAAAGACACATGCACACGTATGTTTATTGCGGCATTATTCACAATAGCAAAGACTTGGAACCAACCCAAATGTCCAACAATGATAGACTGGATTAAGAAAATGTGGCACATATACACCATGGAATACTATGCAGCCATAAAAAAGGATGAGTTCATGTCCTTTGTAGGGACATGGATGAAATTGGAAATCATCATTCTCAGTAAACTATCGCAAGAACAAAAAACCAATCACTTTAAACTCTTAATGATTTCATCTTACATTCCACAATCCATCAAGCTCTGTTAAAACTCTTGGGCAAGATAATTCCTGAAGGAATTCTCCACAAAGGCATTTATTTCCATTTTATGTTTCCTTTCTCTTAAATATTATAAATATTGAAACAAAGCTAACCAGAATGTAACAGGCACTTTCTAAACAGATCCATAATAATTCACCTACATTAATGAGTGCTGACTTTGCTGATTTTGTTCCATGTGTGTCAGTGCAGCCAGGATGGCAGGGTGAAGATAGTACTCCTTACCAATGCTATCTGAGGC